>NC_000015.10:88865520-89017035 GCF_000001405.40 Homo sapiens
CACCTGGCCATTGGAAGGATAATGAAGGAGAACATGTGTGAGTCAGCACTTGGCTCACAGGAGGTTCTTGAGAGTTACTGGTTTCCTCCCTTTCCTCTCTTTCCCTATGAAGCCTGCCCATTGCCCAAAGCCCTTCCCTCCCTCCACTTGCAAGCTCCTTATCCAGGATCCATCACTCTGCATTCACAGCAGGGCCCAGCCCAACTCCTCTATCAGTTCCAGAAGGCATGAGATGTCCTAATTGCCCTTCTCAGAAAGAGGTGGGCCATGCAGGGCCAGAACGGCCCTTCCAGCCAGAACAAGAGGAGATGAGACAGCACAGGCCAAAACAGCTAATAAGAAAGCCCCACACCGGACACCTGGCCTTCTGCCTGCTGCTGAAGATGCTGACTCAGCCTCTCCAAACTACCCTGACTGCAAACACAGGTTTTCTGACTTTCAGGATTGTGGCCCTTCTTTCCCTCCTCATCTGTAAATCCAGGGCCGTGAAAAAAAAAATTCTGAGCCCCGGAATTTGTTCCTTCAGTCCCCGCAGCCTTCTCAGATTTTGTGCCCTGGTCAAACACAGAAAGAAAGCAACGCTCCCCCTCACCCCAACTTGGGCAGCCTGGGAGCAGGTTTTATGCGACCAGCCTCTGAGACAACTGGATACCCCCCAGCCTGACCTCCGCTGGGGTGTCTTTCCTTTCCTGCCCTTTCTCCCATGGGCAGCCAGAGGCCCCAGGGTTGATGTTTTACTCTTCTCCCCAGAGGCCACTCCTGTTCCCTGCTCTGTACAACTGCTTTAGCACCTACATTTGCTTAATTCCCCTTGCCCAGTGCTTCCCATCTCCCATAATGACGCTAATGGATAAAAGAGAACAGGCAGGAGAGCCGCCCCCAGCTTCCGCCCTGCCGACTGGCCTGACCTATTGCTGCTACTGCTGCTGCTGGGAATCCTGGGGCATGCTGGGAATCCAAGTGCATGCTGGGATTTCAGTCTGTTCCTCCATGCATTTTGGGTTTGCTTGGAACAGTTCCAACTTGGAACTGTTGGTTCTAGTCTATGGTGTGCCCCCCCGAGATGAAGTTAAAGACTTCATGGGAAGAAAGAGATGCCCAACAACTGGAGATTAGGGCCTTCGTGGATGAGCAAGATGCCTGAGAGCTGGGGATTTTCAGGCCACCTGTTGCACAAATCCGCCTCTGGCCTAGAAGATGTCTACTATGCACCAGCGTAAGGACTCAGAGGAAACCGCCTTTACCATCTCATCAGAAGGTTGACTTTAAGGTCTGGTCTGCTCTTATGGGAGGCAAGAACTAAGTCTTGGCACATGTTTAGGACTCTGAGATCCTATTCCCACCACAGGGCTTCGCTGTCCTGCAGAGCCCACCTACAGACATGTCACTGGATCTGGAAGGCTGTGTGAACACAGCTGCACATACTGAGGCTCAGTATCTTCAAACCAATGTCATGGTGCCCCATAGCCAGTGGAACCCACTCACTGCAGAATTTTACTGATCTCCTGGCAAGAGGAGCTTCATAATAGCATTTATCATGTTCCCAGGGGAGGAAACCAAGTTGGGGGATAAAACAGCAGGAACCTTTGAAGTACAAATATGAAGAAAGCAGAAGAGATCCCCCAGGTCTTCTGGTTTCTCAGCAAGATGCAGAAAGACCAGATGAGGAGATTTAGTTCTCACCTTGGCTAATTCATGAAAATTTGAGGCAATGGCCAATGACTTACCAATTCAAGTACCACAAAGAAGTTTGATCAGAAAGGATATCTCAGGACCAGAAGAACAGAAGAGAAGAGCCTATCTGAAAAGAGGCAGAGGATGGGGATGTGCCTGTATCCCAGACTGGTGCCAGTGCTGTTGTGCGACCACTTGCTAACCACCTCTGTAGCTCCGAACGCTTGTCTCCCACTGGCCAGGATGGAGTCCCTCTAGAACTTGTGTCTCCCTGGAGATAGCCACCTTCTGGGGCCTTAAGCTGAAAGGAGATTATATGGGGAAATGTTGGACAGGGTTTCCATCCCTCTCCCGAGAGAAAGATTCAGGCTTCATTTTTATAAGAGATTCTAAAATAATATCTACTGAAGACAAAGATGTCTGCAGCCCAAGAACTCTGATGGGTCTCACGCAAACATCCCATGCTGCCATTTTCATATGGATCTACACTCTTCAGACCATTTCGAGGTCATTCATTCTAGCCCCACACAGCCTTGCCCTCTTTCTCTGGGTCATAACTACAAAGGAAGCCAGGAAAAGAAAGACCTCTAACCAAGCTTCAGGAACTTGACTTCAGTTTCCTTGCTCACCACCACGTTCATAACCACTTCAGAATCCATGGTCTCTCAAAATATTCACAAGAGAAGGCATCTTGGAGGAACTCTATGTTCCCCGTCAGAAAAGACATTTGGCTTTAGACCTATCAGATCTCTTCAAACCACTGGGAAATCTGGCTCCAGTGCTCCAAGTTTACCAATCAAGAATCACACACGCCCAAGAAAACCCTTGTCTGGATCTTTGCTTCAGCACTCCAAGATGGCAGCAGCAGCAGCAGCAGCAGCAACAGTTCTCAGGAAAACCAGCCAGTTCCCTCCCAGGGGTCTGGAGAGCAGCAGGACTGGCCACTCAAAAGGAGGCCACAGTGCTTGTGAGGCTGGAGTTGCCGGCAGGAGTCCTAATGGTGGCCCTTGGTTTCTTGCAGACATTGATGAGTGCCTCTCAAGCCCTTGTCTGAATGGAGCCACCTGCGTGGATGCCATCGACTCTTTCACATGCTTATGCCTTCCCAGCTACGAAGGGGACCTGTGTGAGATTGGTACGGCCGTCTTGGCTTCAGCTAATGTTACTAACTGCTGCACCCCCTCCTCCTCCCTCACCTTTCCCTCCTAACAACAGGCTCCAGGCCCTGGCTGGGGCCCCCGAGGTTCATCTGGAGAGCCATTTCAGGGGCCACAACTGAAAATTCTGCCCCACTGATTCCCACTCTTTTTCTTGCTCTCCTCCTTGAAAACCCTTTTCTGGAGCACTGGCTGATCTGACTTTCTCCAGGGCTTCCAGATCTACTGATGCCACCACCGAGGTTGGTGTATGGTTCAGACTAAGAGGACAGGGCTGATTCTGAGCACTTGTCTTGAAGGAAGCTATGGGGTGGGAGTAATTGGTTCTCATTCCAGATGACAGCCACGGATCTTCTCAGTGTGGTCATGGGCATGGGACCTTTGTGGTTCCTTCATGGCCCTGGGAGCCACTGTGCCACATTGGCCAAGCTGCCTTTCTCTTCTCCTGGGGCAAGAGCTGTGGTTGGTCTGCCTGAGATCTCCCGTGTCATCAGCATGCTCAAGTCATGCATGAGCAAGGACTGCTGCATGTCACCTTCTTCTCATCACTATTGTGACAGCTGCCATGGCAATGCCATGCCAGCCTATGCTTCCTTTCTCCCTCCCTTGTGCAAGGCAAAGGGTGGCCAGAGAGAACAGAACTGTGTTACAAGGGGGAGGACTGAGTTACCTCTCTTGGGCCTTGCCAACCTCTCCATTTCTGCACCACTTCTACCAAAAGGAGCTGTGCACCAGGAACCCTCCCAGGGACAGACTGAACCCTCAGCTCTCTCACCTTTGGTGCTTCCTAGTCTCCCCACCAGCCGCCTGGATCTCGGGGATTTCCCAGCTCAGAAAAGGGGAGATGAGACCTTTGGATACTTGTCTCAGTGGCCCAGACAGAACTGGAAGTGTGTAGGGGCTTAAAATCCTTTTCAATGAACTCTCAAGTTGGATACCCAGAAACTTCCAGAAGGCAGGTGAAACTCCTGGGAAGTCTCCCTTTGGTCCTAAGCAGTGTGAGGAGGTAGTTTTGGGTTTCATATTCCTTTGAGGCACTGCCAAGGTTACAGACTGGTAGAGGAACTTAAGACTTTTGGGAAAAAAAAGGCCTGGACACTCCTACTCCCTTGCAGCCTCCCACCCTCCATCCTCACCCCAAGACCCCAAGAAATTGGTATATGGGGTCTTGGCTGGGGTGGAAGCAGAGACTACAAGGATTTTCTCCCCATGATACCACAACATTTGCCACAGGGTAGAAGAGTCTGGGACTTCCATGCCGACAACAGCTATTTGGTTCCAGACTGGAAAAGTGGGCTCTGCTGGAATGGAGGCAGGACCCTCACAGGGCTCTGTACCCTGATGGGGCAGAGAGATGGTGACAGAGCCACCCAGCTCGGCCCTGGGCCTGGGGGCCCAGCTAAGCAGGGCTGCATCTCCTCTCCCATTCCAATCCTGAGTCCTCACCACTCCACGGTGCCTCCTGCCTTGGCTCTGTCCCTGTTACCTCTTTCAGTCTGGAATTGTTTCTGTTTCCTAAGAATCTTCAGCCTGCACAGCCCTGCCCTCCCATACCCACCTCCCAGAGAAGTTGCACCCTCCAGCTCTGCCTGCCCAGCTCAGCCCTTAGCCACTGAAGGGGCCAAAAACTGACCCCCTAAGTCAGCCCTAAGATGATATCTCTGGCCTCTTCAGAGTGCTGAGCTAGTCTGAGGCCTCTCCACCTCTTTCCAGACTGCAGCCTCACCCCTTGGGGAAGGCATTCATAGCTGAGGCACCAGAGGCCTCCACGGCCCCTCCTACAGCTCTGTTCTTTCTTCTCAAGCTGCTGACCCCCTGTTCTGCTCTCCCTCCACTGTCCCCAACTGTCTCTCCCCCACTTTGCCAAGCATCCACCCCTTCAGCCTAAGACTCCTTCCCCTCGGGTACTGGTCCTTCCATTCCAGGACAGCCAGAGTATGGTGGCACCCAATCAGGGAGACCACCATGCAGCCTGAGGGGTTTGTGACCCTCCACCTGGGAGATCCCAGGGGAAGAAGGAAGAAGGGGGGCCTTGGAATTCACTCTGTCCCACACTGTGCTGGCAGATGTTTAACAACCAGCTCTCATAGAGGAGAAAGGAGCCCTGATTGTAGCATCTGCCAATTCCTGAGGTGTAAATGCTTCCACCGGGGCCAGTTTAAAGCTATCAACATGATGTCACTGAAGGCGAGGTTGAGAGGAGACACTAACAATGAGCTCTCTCAAAGCTGAGTGAGCCAGCTCAGCATGGCTCCGCCTGTCCCCTAGGCTGTCCAAGAACTCCAAGCCAGCCCCTTCTCCAGACTGAGAACCCATTACGAATTTAGGTTTGTGAGGAGAGAAGCTCCTCCCCTCTTCCCATTCACCCCCAAAATAAAAAGCCAGGGCCCCTGGATCCCAGACCCCCAATGGGCTATCTGACCCCTGCAAGAGGCAGGCACAGTGTGCTTAACTAAAGCCAACTCTGATCAACAGCCTTAGAGCTCTGAGTCTTCTCCAGACCCCAAGCAGACTTATTTCTGCTCCTCTGTTCCCACCTGAGGTTCTGCAGGAAGGAAACTGCCAGCTCCGCTCCATGCCCCAGCGCTACCAGCTTCCACTGCCTCCACACACTTCCCCACAGCTCCACTCCCTCTCTCCCTGGAGCCCCCCAGAGCCACAGAACCATGTTTTGCCTTAAATCTCAAGACCTCTCACCTTCCCACCTCTTTTGAACTGGACTGCTGACCTCTGCCGGCCCAGCAGAGCAGGCATCAAGAGGAGGAAAGCTTGGGAGAGGGTGAGGGGGGAGGGCGTGGCATCAGGGAAGGAAAGGGCCCCTGGCATTTTCCCGAGTGGAAGCATGTGCAGAGGCTCCCAGGGACCAGACCAGTTTCCAACCTGAACTCCTCCAGCTGTGCCTCTCCCTTCCCTTGAGGGCACAGCATGGAAGGTGGGGTGAACGCAGGAACCTATGCCATAAGACTGGCAGCATCTGCCATCCCCTGGTGGCCTCTGCCCCTCCCTTCAAGCCCCTGACCTGTGTTGCAGACCAGGAGGTATGTGAGGAGGGCTGGAACAAGTACCAGGGCCACTGTTACCGCCACTTCCCGGACCGCGAGACCTGGGTGGATGCTGAGCGCCGGTGTCGGGAGCAGCAGTCACACCTGAGCAGCATCGTCACCCCCGAGGAGCAGGAGTTTGTCAACAGTGAGTGCGGCGGGGCCTCTGGAGCCTGAGAGGAGAGTGGCGGTGTAGGCAAAGGGCCTCACCTTTCAGAAGGCAGCAGATTTGGGCCTCGTGAGACTGCAGGACAGGGACCTGGGGGAGGGGGAACAGTGTTCCCACAGTCTGAGCTCCCAGAGAGAAGACAACGGTCTTTGGGGCCAGAAGCTGTGGCTGCAGCCAGGGCAGACCCATTGCCAGCCAGAGTCAGCCCAAGACTAAGCTATGGCTGTCACCCGTCCATGCCAGCTTGGAGAGGTGGCCCGAAGTGCACTCCAGGCATGCACGTGCTGAGCCTCTTGTGAGGACCTGAGAAGCACGTGCCTTGCTCCTAGGAGCCCACCCACCTCCTTTCCTCCTCCATCCCCTCTGCCTCCGTGAGCTCAAGTTTCTCAGACACCCTCAGGGTGTCCAGTGTGATGCCTGACACCCTCACCCTTTCCCCAGACAATGCCCAAGACTACCAGTGGATCGGCCTGAACGACAGGACCATCGAAGGGGACTTCCGCTGGTCAGATGGACACCCCATGGTGAGTTCTGCTGTAGGCACAGCTGGTGGCCCAGGGGACAGGGAGTGGGATAGAGACCCCTGGAGAGAGATGCATTCAAACCCCATGCAGACAGCCGCTTACCAGCTGCTGGACCGGGAACCCTTGAGGGCAGGGATTATCTCCTTCATCTCTGCCTCTGGAACCCAGCCCGGGGCTGGACAGATTGAGCTAATGATGGCAAGAGGCAAGGAGCCAGGAAGGAAATGAAGGAATAACAGCCACCACCATGAGGAGTATACGGAAGCTTTAGAGAGGTTTCTTGCCCACACTGAACTCGAGTCTACTCAAGGAGACAGACAGAAAGCAACATAGATGCCAAGTGAATGGTACGGGCACCCAGTGATTCTCTTTGTCCTGAAGCAAGGCTGGAAGGATAAGTCTTGGGAGGACTTCTTGGTGGGCAGAAGCTGGACTTAAGAGCTGTGTTCCTACCATCCATCCCTACCCAATGTGGTCAGCCCTGGTTGGCCCTTCTGGATAAGAGGTGTGGAATCAGCTCATGTACAGAGCCTGTGAGTCTTGGGGGTTCTGAGCTCCTGAGAAGGACCTGAGCCAAGCTGTGTGACTGATTCCCTAGAGGGCCACCGGGTTCCATGGCCCCTAGAACAGCCCTGATCAGATTCCCAGCAGTTTTTGTGCTGCTATCAGATGAGCCTGAAGTTGGTGCTAAAAGAGAAAGGAGATGATGAAGAGGCTCCACGGGGAAGACAGTCGGAGCAGGCCAACCCGCACTGTCCTGCCCTCTCCTTACTCCTTCCCCACTCCCACCCACAGCAATTTGAGAACTGGCGCCCCAACCAGCCTGACAACTTTTTTGCCGCTGGAGAGGACTGTGTGGTGATGATCTGGCACGAGAAGGGCGAGTGGAATGATGTTCCCTGCAATTACCACCTCCCCTTCACGTGTAAAAAGGGCACAGGTAAGCTGGCGCCTGGGAGGGGTCAGGGGAGGATAGGATCAAGACCTCCAGCTACAGGTGAGGCTCTTGCTGTGTGGCCTGGGGTGAGTCCCTTGTCTTCTGGCTGCTGGTGTCTCCTCACTTGTCCAAAAGGCAGACTGGAGCTGACCTAGGGGTCCCTCCTAGCACCGGCATCCCAGGGCCAATGGCAAGGGCAAGCTCGCTGCCAGGGACCGTTTGCAGGGACAGCAAGCACATGAAGGTCACAGGCTAGAAGACAGGACCCCCACTCCACACTCCACACAGTCCCTTGGATAGCAGCAGCAGAGTTACCCACAAGGGCCCCCAGATGGGGAGCCTCCCTGTCTTTGGGATTCCCAAGGCCATCAATCACAGAGTCATAGTTGTCAGGCCTCGATCCTTTGGCTTTCAGTCTGTGGACATTGAGGTGCTGGTAGGATGCGCCCCACTGCCCCTGCTCACCACCTTGCGTCCCCCAGGCCTCCTTTCAGTCTCATTTTCCCCTGAACTAGATGTTTTCATCAAGAAGCCTGAGTCTGCCTGGCTCTCGCCCTCCACACCTTTCTACCTCCCTTTCATCTTCTCTTCATCCCTTTAAAGACCACCCCGTTTGTATTCCCTTCCTGCTGTTCTAAATTGTTGAGGAACCCAGATGTTACAGCCAGCGGCTTCCAGATTCTTAGCGCTGCATGAAAACGTCCAGGGCTCACTGTCAGATGTTGAGGCTGTGTCCCCCACAGTGCCTCGGGTCACAACCAGCATAGGTCATCCCAGGAGACCCTATGAGACCCTTTATAAAGGGTGTTTGCCCCTCAGTGGCCTGCGGAGAGCCCCCTGTGGTGGAGCATGCCAGGACCTTCGGGCAGAAGAAGGACCGGTATGAGATCAATTCCCTGGTGCGGTACCAGTGCACAGAGGGGTTTGTCCAGCGCCACATGCCCACCATCCGGTGCCAGCCCAGCGGGCACTGGGAGGAGCCTCAGATCACCTGCACAGACCGTGAGCATCACCCCGGCCATCTCGCTGAGCACAGGGTTAGATTCTGCCAGCACAGCCTTCCCCCCGTCCCCTCTCCTGGGGACCCTACACCGTCCACAGGGTTGAGCAAGGGAAGGGAGGTCGGGGGGCTGCTCAGTCACAAATAGCTGACCACTGCCCTTAGAAGGGCCACGTACTTGTCCCAGGAGAGGGCTCACTTGGAGGATGAAGGAGAAAAAGCCAGAAAGTCCAAGAAAAATCCAAATCAGGAAAGCCGATAAAGCCTCAGGCGCCTGAGTCCTGGTTTCCACAAGGGAGAGAGGGTAGTCTGGGGAGAGCCTGGGCTCGCCCCACTTTCTTTCCAGGTCCACTGATATCTTTCCATCTCCCTTTCGTCCTAGCCACCACCTACAAACGCAGACTACAGAAGCGGAGCTCACGGCACCCTCGGAGGAGCCGCCCCAGCACAGCCCACTGAGAAGAGCTTCCAGGACGCACCCAGGACGCTGAGCCCAGGAGCCTGCCAGGCTGACGTGCATCCCACCCAGACGGTGTCCTCTTCTTGTCGCTTTTTGTCATATAAGGAATCCCATTAAAGAAGGAAAAAAATAAATCCCACATTTGTGTATGCACCCACTCACCCCTCCAAATCAGCAAAACCGCATCTAATTTGTCCGCCGAATGCCAAAGCAAAGCAAACTTATTATAACCCTTGGACTGAGTTTAGAGACATTTCTTCAATTTCCCATCGTGCCTTTCCAGGGACCAGTGCAGGGACAGGGGGAGAAGGGGAGGGGTTAAGTTAAATAAAGAAGATTATTTTTGTTTCCTGACTTTATCCAAGAGCAGTGCAATCGTTGGTTATTTCACCTCCAGGGAGAGCTAGGGAGGAGGGAGGAGGGCTCCAAAGGAGCTGGAAGGAGCAGAGGCCTGAGAGCAGGAAGAACTCGGAACCGCAGCTGAATGTATTGGATGAGAAGGAGCCAGGAGGGCTACACCATCTGTATGAGGGAAAAGCCTTGGGGGAGAGGGGTGGGTTCCTGCCTCCTGCCGAGGGTAAGCCGGCAGGAGAGAGCCATCAGAGGGACCTCCGCTGCCTGGGAGTTGGGTTCCCTCCAAGGGTCCCTCTTTCAGTGTCCTCTCTCTCACCTGGGTCTGCCACCCTAACAGGTGGCAACTCGGCAGGGCTGCTGGGGGCACTTCCTGCCCAGTGGGGGGTGCCGCCCAACCTTCTCCCCTCCCCACCCCCGCCCCCGGGACCGTGCAGGCACCAGGGTTCCGTGCACCTATTTATATTTTTGAAAACTGAAGATTATAATATTATAATAATAATAAAGACATTGGAAGAGATCTATCTCTTTTCTTTTCCCTCTTTTAATTTAAGAAGAAGGCAATCATGACCCGGAGTCCCCCAAAGGGGTCTTAGGAATGGTGGCAGTGGAGACAGGTTTTGATCAAATGATCTCAAATTGGTGTGACTCTGTGACTCTGGTCTGTTCAGAGCGCCTAGGACAGTCACATCTGTCGTGCTTTATTTTTCCTAGGGTCCCAATGTGTTTGGTAGATGATCTGCATGTAAGCACATGTGATATGTCTCTACATGTGTGTACCTGGCTGTGCCTGTCACGTGTGACATGCGTCAGTCGGTGCCATATGGATTTACAAGTGGGCACTGTCAAAGAGCAACTCAAGCCAGACATCTGGTCACCTTGCATGCTTTGGTTCTTTGTGATCACACTGCTCTGGTGGGTTGGTAGACTGAATCCAAGAACAGAGGCAAAAATCAGGATTTATAAGAAGGGAAGGAAAAAACAAACTGCAGACAGTCTGAGAACAGTGAATCTTGCTTACACATTTTCAAGGTAAACTGCTTGCCAGCTACTAGCAAAAAGGTCTGGGCATCCTGCCCTTAAGTACACTATAGAGACCGGGCACAGTGGCTCACGCCTGGAATCCCAGCACTTTGGGAGGCTGAGGCCAGTGGATCACAAGGTCAAGAATTCAAGACCAGCCTGGCCAACATGGTGAAACCCTGTCTCTACTAAAAAAATACAAAAATTGGCCATGCATGGCAGCATGCACCTGTAATCCCAGCTACTCGGGAGGCTGAGGCAGGAGAATTGCTTGAACCCGGCAGGTGGAGGTTGCAGTGAGCCGTGAGCCAAGATCGCACCACTGCATTCCAGCCTGGGCAACAGAGCAAGACTCTGTCAAAAAAATAAAAAATAAATAAAAAATAAAAAAAGTACACTGTAGAATAGCAATGAAAACAATTCTAATTGTTTACGGATTCCCCTGACAAACCTTGAGAGTTGAGCCCACACACGCATGCCAGGCAGTATCCTTCCACCAGTGCCACCTCCTCAGACGCCTCCCTCGTCACAGTCGCTGGACACGCCATTGAGTCTGTGTGAATATGTGTGTGTGTTGGTTCTTGCAGGCCAGTGTGAGTTCCTGGGTCCTGGTATCTTTTCAGGCGTGGGCGTGTGTACAGCTGTTTGTTCGTATATATATACATACTTGCATCTCTACCTCTAGAAAGAACAGTGGGCCAAAGTAGAGTGTACAGCACTGGTCACATAGTAGGCGCTCAATCATTACTTCATTAACTGATTAGTTGGTGGTGCGACTGTCAGTGGTTTTCAAACTTGAACGTGCATCAGAATCACCTAAAGGGCTTTGGTGACAACAGAGGGTGCCGGTCCACACCCCAGACTTTCTGACTCAGCAGGTCTCTGCTGGGGCCCAGGAATTTGCACTTCTAACAAGATCCCAGTGATGCTGATGCTGCCGACCACACTATGAGGAGCACTGAGCTAAGGGAAGAACCGAAGGAATAACTGGTTGGTGAGTGGCAGAGGCGTTCCTGCGCAAGGCAACAAGTCAAGTTTCCTGAGGCGGGGGTGGGAGTGGGAGGCAGAGGGTGAGGCACACGGAGCACTGGCCCCTAGATCCCTGGCCTCTGAGGTCCTCTGGAGGGCGTAGCCTCCTCTGTCTTCTGACAGACACCTCTGGCTCTTCTGCTGAGCCTCACACAGACAGACGCACTGCCAAGGGGTGGGGATGGTGAAGACAGAAGCCAGGTCCTCTGCCACTAGGCCAGCACCCAGGACCGGGTGAACCATTGAGCAGGCAAGGCTAGAACCAGCCCGCAGAGTTCCCTGTTCACCCCAGGGACCTGACCCAGCCAACCTATGAAGCCTGGGCTAGAACTGCCCCCACCACACCCACCAGGCAGGGGGCTGCGCCCTGAGACCGAACGAGATGGAGACACAGAAAAGGGCTGGGGATGGCGGAAGGCAGTCATAGCACCATTTATTGTCCAAAGTACACACACCTGAGGGCCCCTCCCCACACAGGGAAACAGGAGAAACAAATGACAACAAAACAGATTCTTTGGAACCGAGAGGGGAAGGGGAACGGGGAGGGGAGTTTCTTCCTTCCCTCAGCTTTCGCCTGGAAGCCTAGAACTGGCTTCCAGCCCTAGCCCCTCAGTGGGCAGACTGGGGTCAGCGGCTTCACAGAGAAGTAGAGGTGGGCAGGAGAGGCCCAAAGCCCAGCTCCGGAGGCCCCCGAGGCCCTCTTCTTCCCCCAGGCTGAGGGGCAGGGAGAACTGTGCCCACCATGCCCGGACTCCCGGCGGCATTCTAGACAGGCCACCGCCCACTCTGGGCACCAACCTCCTTAAGGGAGGGAGACCAGCCTGGATGGCGGGGAACCCTCCAGAAGCCCACAAAACCGCAAATGGCCCAGGGGAGCAAGCATGATTCCTGGAGTGGGGCATCCAGGAGCAAAGGGAGGCATTGGGTTCTGTTTGCTTTACAAAAAATAGTAAAAAAATGTTTAAAGAAAATTTAAATTGAGAAGTATAAAAACAGTTAAAATGGCTCCAACCCACAAGGGAAAACGAACCACTCAATAAATACACAGCCAGTGAGGGAATGCGGCAGGGGAGGGCCCCAGGTCCTAGTGCTGGCGGTAGCAGTAAACACCGTACAAGCGGCTCTGCGGGTCGGGGAAGCCAAAGCTTCGGACCCCAGGCTCTGGGGGCCCACAGTTAGGATGCGGGTGAACCACAGGGTAGCGGACGCTACCATCTGCCAGCCAGCCAGCGTCGCAGCGGTCCAGGCCATGGAACTTCCAGGCGGCAAAGAGCTGTCCCACCTTGGCGATCGTGGCATCATCTTCCTGGCAGGCCTCCCTTGCCTCTGTCAGCGTCAGCTTCTCAGGGTGCTCCAGGTAGTACACCCGCCCTGGGGGAAAGGGGGCGTGAGTGCCGTACAGCGCAGGGGGCAGCCAGAGAGCACAGCGGGGTCTGCAGAGATGCCAGCCCCAAAGACCCGTCTGAGCCCAGGGAGCTACCATACTGCAGGCATCTGCAGAGAACACTTTCTAATCTTCACCCTGTCCCAGAGAGCTCTGTCCCACCTGCCATAGAACCCAGGTCCCTCCAGACATGTCTGCACTCCCCCACCACCCTTCCCTATTTAGGTGGGTGGGCACCCCACCTAGGCTGGACCAGTCAGAGTCTCTTGCCCATTCGGTCATTTACTGAACACCTACTATGTGTCAGACACTTTTCCAAGGGCTTGGCATATGACACTGAACCAGTTTCTGTTTTTACTTGTTCATCTTCCTACGAAATGAGCTGCTTTGTGAAGACAGGCTGTGTTTTATTCGTCTGTGATTCCCGAGAGCCTAGTCTAGGCCCCAGCATATGGTAGGCACTCAGTAAACATTTGATGAATGAAGAAACCAATGATTTATGCCCTGCATAACGCAGCAGCAGCAAAGCACTCAAAACTCAACCAGATGCTGCTTCTAGGGTGGCTGGTGCTCTTGGCCTCCAGGTGGCAGTACCAGCAGAGCCAGCAGAGGGGGCCAGAGCTCCCCAGAAGCTGCCCTCTCACAGGTCCCAGGTGGCCACCAAACCCACAGGCCCGCGCTTGGCTATTCCACTCACCCTTGAGGGCAGTAGCGAAGCAGAATACATCATAGCGGTGCAGGCGGCGGTGGCGGGGGCCGTAGCTTCGCACGCCAGGTGCCAGGCCCGGGCCACCGCAGGGCTGCCGGGGCAACATGATGGGGTACTGCACCGTGGCATCCTGCAGCCAGCCCGCGTTGCACCAGTCCAGGCCCTCCTCCCAGGCCCGGAAGAGCTGCTCAAAGGAGGCCACCACCGCAGCCTGCTCTGCACAGACCTGCTGGCCCTCGTGGAAGTTGAACTGGTAGCGCCCGTTGGGGGACTGGTAAGGAAAGACCACACCTGCAGGGGAAGGAAAGAGGAGCTTAGGGGGTGGCCAGGGGCCCAGCTGGCTGGACACCCCGCTCTCCTCCCACCTTCACTGGGACATGTGCTGCCTGCAACACACACACATACACCATCCCTCAGAAAAACTCAGCAAACCTCTGACCTCCTGTCCGTTGCCGCCTCTCTCCTGGGACTCAGCTGGTTCACAGCAGTACTCAGAAAACATCCATGAGTTAAGGTAATTAATTAGTCCATTAATGTCCCCAACAATGTCCCCAACCTAATCCGCAAGGCTGTCGCCAGACCCCCAGTGAGGCTGTGCCATCTTCTCCAGACAGGCCCGGGCTTTGGGCTCTAGGGGCCAGGTTTGACTCCCAGCTCCCCACTCGTTAGCTGGGACCCGATCGTCTACGTTATTATGAATGTGGAAATTTCCTAGGAAAATGCAAGGAACTTTCCACGTGTGGCAGATGATTTTCAGGAGAAGGAGAGGCCCTAGAGGCCGTGGGGAGAGGGTTGGGGAAGGGCCTTCCATAAAGGAGGCTCAAGGGCAGGGAGGTCTGGGGCAGGCGGTTTCTCTCCTTGTGGTCAGGGTCTGATAGAGGCCACAGGCCCTGAAAAGATATGTTCGTGTTTGAAATTTTACTCTAATAAAAAGTTTTTAAACTTCTGAGATGTAGTCTCTACCAAGTCAATGAAACCTTAGGGAGTGGAGGTGACCCTAGGGGTCTGGGAAGGACACTTTGGAATCTCCTCCGTGTGGCCAAGGACCCAGGAACAGCCTGAGCCCCAAACCTCCGATCTCACCAGGGCCGGAAGCCAGGCACCTGGGCAAAGCCAGGTTGGGCGGCAGAGAAGCCCATGGGCCCTGACAGTCAGCTTGCAGCCTCTACGTGTGTTTGCAGGGGGACTATTTCATGCCTGGTTCCACCCCAAATTCCTAGCCCTTGAAGCCCCGGGAATGGGGTGAGGGCTCCCTGTTTCTCTAGGCTGCCCCTGCAGACCCCAGACCAATGACTCTTGCAGGTTCTCCCCAACTCCACTGCCACCCCAACTTCAAGAATGAGGAATGCGGCCCCTCTGAGCCACCATGTAAGCCATGTGGACACTGGTGGCAAAGACAGAGAACGCATTTTAAGGACATACATCTTATCCTCATTGCCTCTGAGGGAGGTAAAGGAGGAAAGATTGTGATACCCCATTTTACACCTGAGAGGCCCAGGGCTCTAAGGGGGATGAGGCATTTACCCACATGTCATAGCTGGGACGGGCTGGGGCTAAAGTCAGGTCACCTTCCTCTATCCCCGAACTGCCTCCCTAACATGTGGGAGAGATGTGAGGACACACAGCCCCATCCTAGAGACAGAGAAGGTAAATACAAATTAAAGATCAAACAGGGACCCCACATACAAGATCCGGCTTGCAGGGTGTGGCTGGTTTGGACAGCACTGGGTTTTTGTTTTTGGTTTTGGGGGGGCTTTTTGTTTGTTTTTTGTTTTGTTTTGTTTTTAAAAAGGAGGTTTTTACATAAAAATCAGGAGATCTCACATAAAAATATAAGCTTATCTTGTCAAGCCAGAAAATTTGGCAGTGGGGTCTGCATTCTGGCGTGGCATCATCAGCTGGGCCTGAGTAGTGTGGGAGCTCCCTGGGCACAGGACAAGGGCTCAGGAGTGTGCCCAGTCCCCACCACTCCCATCGTCTCACAGTGGGCTGCCTCATTCGCTTGTGTTACCCGCTAACCTTGCTTAAATCTCAGCTCTGTCTCTAATAAGCTGTGGGACCAGCTCTGGTTTTCCTCTCTCTGAATGAGATGTGAATTACAGCGGGTAGAGGGGAACAGATTCTAGAGGCTGGGTGCTTGGGTTCAGACCCCAGCTCTGTCGTTTACAAGCTGTGTGACCTTAGGTAAGTTACTTGACCTCTCTGTGCCTCAGTTTTCTCACCTGTAAAATGGGGGTCACAACAGTAGCTTCCATGTGGGTTGTTTTGAGAATTAAGTACTTTTAAATGTCTAAAGCACAGAGGTCTGGATGTTTTCTCTGGTCCTCTCCCCTCTGCTCTCAGGTCCCAGTGTCACCCAGTCCCCGTTAGCATCTCACCCCGCAGCTCCAGCTCCACCAGACCGCTTTCATCCTCCAGCCCGTCAATGACCTCACAGCGGTAACGCCCATAGTCCTCCAGCCGCAGATCCTGGATCTCCAGCGAGACGTCATGCTCTTTGTCCTGCCGCAGGTGCACGCGGCCTTGGTAGTCCCCAAAGGAGCGGTGCCTCAGCCCGATGGCCACCAGCACGTCCTTCTCTGGGGCCCCGTTCTCCGACAGCTTCCACCATTTGACACGCACACGCCGCGGGGAGACCAGGGCCGGCTCGTAGCGGTAGCGGCAGGGCAGGATCACACTGGCCCCTTGGTAGGTGAACAGGGTCTCCTCGGGTGTCTCCACCACCAGCTTCACTCCATTAAGGAGGTCTTGGGGGAGAGACAGGGTGCAGATGAGACCTGCTGAAGCACATCTGTACCCCTGCAAGGGCCACCGCACACCCTCATCCACGGCTCCTACAGGCTCAGATTGCAAAAATGGCCACCATGCTCCACCCCTCCCTGTATCCACATGCTCTGCAATGTGACTTTGCATCTCCTTCCATCAAGAGATGACAGTTATTCCCCCACCCCCTTGAATCTGTGCTGGCCTTGCCACTTGCTTGACCAACTGAATGCCTTGGAAGTGACTGTTATCCATCATGCCTGCTCTGAGCATAGGTCCCAGGGGGCCTTGCTGCTTCCACTCTTTTTTTAGGACTTTGCCAGCCACCATGAGCACATGGCCAGGCTTGCCTGCTAGAGGATGAGAGAATACACAGAACAGAGACAGGGCGCCCCAGCTGAGGCCATCCTACAGCAACCAGCCCCCAGCTGACCTGCCCACCATGGGCAGGCACATCTGCAAGACCCAACCGCAAGACCTGAAGAAATGGAGCCCACTCCAAAATGCTGACCCACAGAATCATGAGCTAAACAAATGGCTGTCATCCTAAAGAAGTCACTAAGTTTTGGGTGGTTTGCTATGCATAAAATCTAACCAATGGAGCAGGCAACAAGAGCCACCCCACATGAGGTACATGGCCAGGACAAGTGGCCCTGATAGGGATCCGTCGGAGTTTCCTTCCCCACCACACTGGCCAGAGGACAGCACAGCCCTGGCTTTACTCTCTGGTCCAGCTGTCCACCATAACTCTTCCCAAATACGGAGCAGCCTACTGAGCTAAGGGCAGAACTTCTAAAGGAGACTACGCTCACGGCTCAGAGTTACAAATACACACAGAACTCAACATGCAACAAAAGAATCAAGTTCATAGGCTAAGGCTGCCTCATCTTTAACTTGGGAGCCCCTGTTGGGACCTCACTGATTCATTCTCTTGGGTCTAGACTTCAAGACATGCTTGATTTACTCAAGGTGGGGACAGGGGCCAGGCACGGTGGTTCACGCTTATAATCCCAACACTTTGAGAGGCCAGGACAGGAGGATCGCTTCAGCCCAGGAGTTTGAGACCAGCCTGGGCAATAAAGTGAGACCCTGTCTCTACAAAAAAATTTTTAAAACTAGCTGAGTATGGTGGTAGATGCTTGTGGTCCCAGCTACTCGGGAGGCTGAGGTGGGAGTATTGTTTCAGCCCAGAAGTCAAGGCTGCAGTGAGTCATGATCGCACCACTGCATTCCAAACTGGGTGAGAGAGCAAGACTCTGTTGCCAAAAACAAAATAAAAACAAATTAATTAATTAAAAAGGTGGAGGCAAGGGGACAGCCTCATGGGTAAGCAGGAGACAGACAGGGAGGTTCCCTGTAGAGGAATCGTGCTAAAAAAGAGCTATACCTAATGTAGCAGATTGCCATATGCAGAAGTCTCCAAGTGTGGCCCTCGGGCCAGCAGCATTAGCATCACCAGGAATTTGTCAGAAATGCACATTGTGGGGTCCCAGTGCCTCAGAGACTCTGGGAATGGGGTCCAGCCTCCAGGGGACTTTCAGGCTCATTCAGATTAGAGCTGTCCTGCTCTGCAGAGGCAGTAGGTACAGAGGTTTGGAGTCAGGCAATTCGGGCTTGCCCTTGGTTCCACCTTTTCCCAGCTGTGTAATCCAGGGAAGTCAAGACTCAGCTTCCCCATTTGTAGAATGGGTTAATTACAGTCCCTACAGAGGGCTGTGGTAAGGTTCAAATCAGGTAAGGCAGGATGCCTGGCACACAGAAAGTGTCCAATAAATATGAAGCAGGGCTATCATTTAGGGGCCACTTCCTTGGTTCTTCCCAACTCTCTTAAGTAAACTACCTTTGAAGCTTTAACCTGAATAAAATGAAAATGTACATCCATATGATAAAATACTATACAGCCATGTAAAATAATCTGGTAGATGTACATTCAATCATTGACTTAGAAAACGAGTTCTATTCTATGAGGTGATAAGGGAGAATACAAAAATCACATGTATGACATGAGCTGGTTTTTGTTGGAGAAAGTTTTCTAAATCATAAAAGAATGGCTCAGCTAGGTGCAGTGGCTCACGCCTGTAATCCTAGCACTTTGGGAGGCCAAGGCGGGCAGATCACTTGAGGCCACGAGTTCGAGACTAGCGTGGCCAACACGGTGAAGCCCCATCTCTACTAAAAATACAAAAATTAGCTGGGCACAGTGGTGCACGCCTGTAGTCTCAGCTAACTCAGGAGGCTAAAGTGGAAGGATCTCTTGAGCCCAGGAGGCAGAAGTTGCAGTGAGCCGAGATCACACCACTGCACTGGTGTGACAGAGTGAGACCCTGTCTCAAAAAAAAAAAAAAGAAAAGGCTAGAAAGAGATACCTAAAAAGTTAACAGTGGTTCCCCTGGGTGGGGGGATTATATATGACTTTGCTTACATATTCAGGGACAAAAGGGAAAGACAAAAATGAAATGTTGGCCTGGTAGTGTAGTGAAACTATGAGTAGGAAGTTTAAGTTTTTTAAATTCCGCAAATCTCATTAAAGTAGTGCTTGTAGGCCGGGCACGGTGGCTCACGCCTGTAATCCCAGCACTTTGGGAGGCCAAGGCGGGCGGATCAGGCGGTCAGGAGATCGAGACCATCCTGGCTAACACGGTGAAACCCCATCTCCACTAAAAATACAAAAAATTAGCCAGGCATGGTGTCGGATGCCTGTAGTCCCAGCTACTCGGGAGGCTGAGGCAGGAGAATGGCGTGAACCCAGGAGGCAGAGCTTGCAGTGAGCCGAGATCGCGCCACTGCACTCCAGCCCAGGTGACAGAGCGAGACTCTGTCTCAATAAATAAATAAATAAATAAAGTAGGGCTTGTATAACAAAATAAATTCTGAAGGAAAAGGGTGTGGTGGGCTAAATAATGGCCTCCCAAAATACCCTAAATCCTAATTATGTAGCAAAATGGACTTTGCAGATGAGGTTAAACTAAGGATGTCGAGATGGGGAGGGTATCCTGAATTTCCCAGGTGGGCCCTAAATGCAAATGCGCAAGTACCTGTTTAGAGGGAGGCAGAGGGAGATTTGCATATAAAAGAGGAGAAGACCACGTGACCAAGGAGGCAGAGCCTGCAGTGAGGCAGCTACAGCCAAGGAATGCCAGCAGCCACCAGAACCGGAAGAGGCAAGGCAAGAACAGATTCTCCCCAAGAGCCACAGGAGGTACAGTCCTATCCGCACCTCGATTTCTGCACAGTGAAACTAATTTTGGATTTCTGGTGCCTAAAGCAGTGAGAGAATACATTTCTGTTGTTTCAAGCCACCAAGTTTGTGTTAATTTGTTACAGCTGACCTAGGAGACTAATCAAAAGAGGGAAAATGCCTCTGCAGGCACAATCATCTACTCAAAGGCAGAGGGAAAGGTGAGAAACACCCAGCACTGCACTTGCAGGCTCATGTGTCGTCTCTGAACCAGGCTGTGCGCTCTTCATGGCAGGTGCTGGCTATTACTGAGACCAGCCATCTGGTTCGTTCCTTCCACAAACAAGTGGAACAAGTTTGTTGTTGTTGTTTTTGAGGCAGAGTCTCACTCTGTCACCCAGGCTGGAGTGCAGTGGTGTGATCTCAGCTTACTGCAACCTCCTCCTCCCAGGTTCAAGCAATTCTCATGCCTCAGCCTCCTGAGTAGCTGGGATTACAGGTGCACGCCACCACACCCGGCTAATTTTTTGTTTTTTGTGTTTTTTTTTTTTTTTTTGAGACGGAGTCTCACTTTGTCGTTCAGGCTGGAGTGCAGTGGTATGATCTCAGCTCACTGCAACCTCTGCCTCCCAGGTTCAAGCAATTCTCCTGCCTCAGCCTCCTGAGAAGCTGGGATTAAAGGCACCTGCCACCACGCCCGGCTACTTTTGTATTTTTAGTAGAGACAGGATTTCACCAGGTTGGTCAGAATGGTCTTGATCTCTTGACCTCGTGATCCATCCACCTCGGCCTCCTTAAGTGCTGGGATTACAGGTGTGAGTCACCGCGCCTGGCCAATTTTTTGTATCTTTAGTAGAGGGTTTCGGTATGTTGGCCAGGCTGGCCTTGAACTCCTGACCTCAAGTGATCCACTCACCTCAGTCTCCCAAAGTGCTGGGATTATAGGCATGAGCCACTGCACCCAGCCCTCAGCTTTGTCTTTTTAATAGCTGTTTGACCTGGACAACTGGATCAACTCTCTGAGCCTAGTTTGCTCATCTATGAGAAGGGATGATAATAGAATCTACTTTCAGGCTGTGAGGGCAGACAGCATCAATTCAGCCTGGTCAGCACCCGTGCTGCACTAATGGTTAAAAATGTGTATTTTCGGCAAGGCTCGTTGGCTCACGCCTGTAATCCCAGCATTTTGGGAGGCTGAGGCGGGTGGATCACCTGAGGTCAAGAGTTCAGGACCAGCCTGGCCAACATGGAGAAACCCCCATTTCTACTAAAAGTACAAAAATTAGCCAGGTGTGGTGGCAGATGCCTGTAATCCCAGCTGCTTGGGAGGCTGAGGCAGGAGAATCGCTTGAACCTGGGAGGCAGAGGCTGCAGTGAGCCAAGATCGCGCCACTGCACTCCAGCCTGGACAACAAAGTGAGACTCCATCTTAAAAAAAAAAAAAAAAAGGTATATTTTCACCCTTGCCTACATCAGGGCTTTTGTGATTACAGGAGACGACATATGCAAAATATCTAGAAGCGCGCCCAACCCATGTTGGGTGCACAATAACTGCTACTTTAAAACGTTCCCTGCCCAAGGCCACACAGCTAGTAAGAGGTAGAATTATAAGATTCAAACTCGGGCCAGGCATGGTGGCTTATGCCTGTAATCCCAGCAATTTGGGAGGTCGAGGCAGGTGGATCACCTGAGGTCAGGAGTTCAAGACCAGCCTGGCCAACATGGTGAAACCCCTTCTCTACTAAAAATACAAAAAGTAGCCAGGCATGGTGGCACATGCTTGTAATCCCAGCTACTCGGGAGGCCGAGGCAGGAGAATCGCTTGAACCCGGGAGGCAGAGGTTGCAGTGAGCCGAGATCGTGCCATTGCACTCCAGCCTCGGCAACAGAGTGAGACTTTATCTCAAAAACAAACAAAAAAAACATTCAAACTCACATCTATTCGACCCCAGGTCCCCTTTCCACTGGGGGGACCAGGGGAGGACACATTCAAGCTGGACCTTGAACAACTGGCAAGACTTTTAGGGAAAGTAAAAAGCCTAAGTGAATTGGGCCCCATGACGAAGGGGCTGGCGAACACAGGAAAATGAACTCACCCCTTCCCCTGTCTGAGAAGCAAGCTGGCCCACTACAAGGGCCCTGCTGGAACAGGGCTGCTGTCCCTGTCCCAGCCTGGAACCCTCAGATCACAGCAAGAGCCAAGGAGGTCTAGGTCACCCAGGGGAGCAAAGAGCCGGGTGCAGGAGGTCGCCTACCTTTGCCATGACCGTTGCCTAGGTTCTGGTCGTTGGCGCTGTTGGAGTAGTAGAAGCCGTTGTAGAAGGGCAGTCCGTAGGAGCCGGGCAGCAGGAGCAACGGGACCAGGAGCAACAGGCCCATCTCCTCATGCCAGGGTGACCCGGGCCAGGCTGGGGCCCCAGGGCAAACTGGGAAGGGGAGGAAAACAAGGCAATTAGAAAAGCCTGGCTTCCAGGGCCCACATCCCCTCTGCTCCAACACCACTCACTCGCTTGCTCAACAGCTCACTGCGGGACACCTGCCGCCTACGTGCCAGACGCTGTTCCCGGAGCTGAGAAGACAGCAGTGACAAGCTAGATGGGGTTCCTGCTTTCAGGGAGCTGTACCCCGAAGGCAAGACGGGAGATCAGCAAAGAGACAAATCATAAGAAGGAAGTATCAGGCAGCTAAAAGCAGAGAAAATTAAGCAGGATGATATGACAGGCTCAATGTTTTTCAAGCCAGAATTTGAAAGGTTATGGGCAGGCTGGGCATGGTGGCTCACGCTTATAATCCCAGGACTTTGGGAGGCTGAGGCGGGCGGATCACCTGAGGTTGGGAGTTTGAGGCCAGCCTGGCCAACATGGAGAAACCCCGTCTCTACTAAAAATACAAAATTAGCCAGGCATGGTGTCACATGTCTGTAATCCCAGCTACTCGGGAGGCTGAGGCAGGAGAATCGCTTGAACCCAGGAGGCAGAGGTTGTGGTGAGCCAAGATCATGCCATTGCACTCCAGCCTGGGCAACAAGAGTGAAACTCTATCTCAAAAAAAAGAAAAAAGAAAGAAAAGAAAAGAAAGGTATGAGCAGCACTTTTTAATGACGCCAAATAAACTAGACTAGAATAGAAAATATCAGGGTGAATAGAGGGTATGTTAAGTAAAGATGAGTCCTGCATTGTGAACCCTTTTTTTTTTTTTTTGAGACAGAGTCTCGCTCTGTCGCCCAGGCTGGAGTGGAGGTTGCTCACTGCAACCTCCGCCTCCTGGGTTCAAGAAATTCTCCTGCCTCAGCCTCCCGAGTAGCTGGGACTACAGGTGCGTGCCACCAAGCTCAGCTAATTTTTTGTAATTTTAGTACAGACGGGGTTTCACCGCGTTAGCCAGGATGATCTCAATCTCCTGACCTAGTGATCAGCCCGCCTCGGCCTCCCAAAGTGCTGAGATTACAGGCATAAGCCACTGCGCCCAACTCAAAAATAATTTTTGAACACCATGCTAGAGGTCTTGGGAGCTATTCCAGTTTGGGTGGGCGCTCAAAAGAGGTAGCCAACCCATGGGCTGTAGTTTGATGATTTGATTTTTTTTTAAATATTGTATTCAAATATTTTGTCTTGATTACTAAGATTTCTAGCAAACTCCCTTCCTCCCCCGCTTAAATCTCACACCAAGGGCTACTGCCTCACTCATGTCACCCTAGCCCTGCTCACCTGCCATTTACTGCGTGCTCTCAACAATTAAAAGATGGGGTCACTCCTTGAAGGAGCTTGGTCCAGGGAGGGGGCAGAGTCGTGGGCAGGCAGTCTTGATTGCTGTGTGTTGAGTACCACGATGGAGGTACAGAAACGGGAATGTCCAAATGAGACTGAAGATGCAGGAGTTTGCCAGGTGGAGAAGGACTGACAGGTTTATCCAGTAGGGCACTGCCACTACAAAGGTGCAGATGCCAGCAAGAGTCCCAAGCCTGGGGGTGCTGGGGGTATACAGGAGGTCCTCCATTTGCCCCACACACCCACCAGGTCCATCGTCTGTCCTTCTCTGACACGTATTGGTCCCTGTTGTCCCAGTTCCCCAGGCCTTCTGGCTTCCAGTGGGATTGAGCCAATGGGAGGCACTCAGAGAAGATGGCAGAGAGGGAAGAGGAGGAAGACGGGGCATTGCTTCCCAGCTCCCTTGCCACCCCAGTGCCTCTGCCATAGAGTGTCTGCTGCTGCTGCTGGCCTCTGCGTCCCCCACTTCCTTGTTGGGTCCCCTCACCCTACTCTCTAGAAGTCATTCCTCCATTAAAGTCTCTTTATTGGAATCATCTGGGCTGAATTCTGCTTCCTGCCAAGACCCTGGCTGCATGGGGGAGAGGAGGTAAGGGGGTCACCAGGGCCAGCGTCTGGATGCCTTGGGTGTCAGGCCCAGAAGCATATCCTGTTTTGTTTTTTTTTAAAGATAGAATCTCACTCTGTTGTCCAAGCTGGAGTGCCGTGGCAAGATCTGAGCTCACTGCAACCTCCGTCTCCTGGGTTCAAGTGATTCTCATGCCTCAGCCTCCCGAGTAGCTGGGATTACAGGCATGCGCCAACATGCCCCATTAATTTTTGTATTTTTTGTAGAGACGGGGTTTCACCATGTTAGCCAGGCTGGTCTCGAACTCCTCGCCTCGAGTGATCCGCCCACCTCGGCCTCCCAAAGTGCTGGGATTACAGGCATGAGCCACCACACCTGGCCAGAAGTCTATCCTTTGTCCTGGAGGCCAGTGATGGCTTTAAGCAGAGAAGTCACAGGATCAGACTCACATCTTAAGACACTTCCCTGCAGGGGCTGAGTGGAAGGTAGACCTGGGGGCAGCAAGACCAGAATGACAGCAGGCAGCTGCAAACATAACTATGATTATCATGTAGCAACGTGGAAGAATGCTTAGGGTGTAAGTTAAAATAGACAAAGCAGAACATACAATTGCCTCTGCTATGATTGCAACCATGTGGTCTTGTGAATGCCTGTGTACAGGACCCAGAAGATGAGGAAACACTTAAAGAGGAAGGGAGGGAGGACAGAAGGGAGAAAGGAAGGAAGGAAAGAAGGAAGGGAGGGAGGGAGGGAGGGAGGGAGGAAGGGGAGGAAGGAAGGAAAGGAAGGAAGGAAGGAAAGGGAAGGAGGGAGGAAAGGAGGCAGGCAGACACACACAGCATTGGCTTGTTAGAGTGATGGGATTGTGGAGGAAACATTCTTGTTTCCAGAACAGTTAGGAGCTCTTGCTGGAGAGAATGGATGTAAAGAAAGTTGAGAGGCCAAATCCACCATTCCCTTAGACACCACAGAAATCCCAAGGCCCAGACCTGCCATCTGTGCTGTGCACTGCAGCCAGGACACTACCAACTCTGAAACCCCACTTCTTGTCCAAGAGGAATTCATTCCCCTGTTGATTCCTGTAAGCCCCCTTGGTGATGGAGAACTGGGAGGCCTAAGCACAATGGGGCAACCTGGTACAGAGTTTGGGAACTGGAAGATCAGAGTTCAAATCCCACCTCTACTATTTATTCACTGCGAGATTCTGGGCAAGTTTCCTCGGTTGCGAAATGGAGATCATAAAACTCACCCTGGTATATTTCTCGCCAATGCATTCTAGTTTTCTCCTAAAGTAACAGAGGTCTAGATGGGTGCACGACCGTTCAGCTGAAGACTGCATTTCCAGCCTCCCTCGCAGCTAGGAGAGCTATGTGACTCAGTTCTCATCAATGGCAGCAAGCAGAAATAACATGCCACATCCAGGTCTGGCAGTTAAAACAATTACAGATGCCTTTCCCTGGTATTCCTTCCCCCAACCTTCTGGAAACCACAGTATCCAGCTTAGAGTCAGAGATGGAAACCACAGATTGAATGGCAGAGCTGCCCATCAGCCCTGGACCTCCTCCACTTGCACTGTCCTATGAGAGAGAAACAGAGTCCTATCATATTTAAGCCACCACTTTTTTGCATCTTTTTTTTTTTGAGACTAAGTCTCACTCTGTCGCCCAGGCTGGAGTGCAATGGTGCAATCTCGGCTCACTGCAACTTCTGCTCCCAGATTCAAGCAATTCTTCCTGCCTCAGCCTCCTGAGTAGCTGAGATTACAGGCACCTGCCACCACACCAGGCTAATTTTTGTAATTTTTTAGTAGAGACGGGGTTTCGCCATGTTGGCCAAGCTAGTCTTGAACTCCTGACCTCAGGTGATCTGCCCACCTCGGCCTCCCAAAGTGCTGGGATTACAGGCGTGAGCCACTGCACCCGGCCTGCATCTCTTTGTCAACACAGCTTAGCCTCACTTGTCCTAACAAATACACACACCACAGCATTACTATGATCAGTATAAAAGTATTAACAGCTGAGCACTTACTCTCTCATTTATTTTATTTTTGTTTTTGTTTTGAGGCCAAGTCTCACTCTGTCGCCCAGGCTGGAGTGCAGTGGTAAGATCTCGGCTCATAGCAACCTCTGCCTCCTGGGTTCAAATGAATCTCCTGCCTCAGCCTCCCAAGTAGCTGGGATTACAGGTGTGTGCCACCACACCCAGCTAATTCTTTGTATTTCTAGTAGAGATGGGGTTTCACCATGTTGCCCAGGCTGGTCTCAAACTCCTGGGCTTAATTGTTCTGCCCGCCTCCGCCTCCCAAAGTGCTGGTATTACAGGCATGAGCCACCACACCTGGTATCTCTCATGTAATCCTTACCACTACCCTGACATGTGAGCCTAGTAGTGTTCCCATTTTGCAGATGGAAAAACCAAGGCACAGAGAGACTAAGTCATATGCCCAAGGTCATCCAGCTAGGAAGTGGCAGAGCTAGGATTCGAACCCACTCCAGCCCCAAAGCCTGGAACCATGCCAAATTCAGGGAGGTGATTGTGTGGCACACACAGCCCAGTGGCCCAGAGCAAACCCTTGTAAGAGTTCGTTTCCTCTGCCTTCCTTCAGGCTCCACACCTGGAACCAGGAGGGAAGTGGGGCCAAGATTTGATGTTGAGCTTGATGTCCTGGGCTCCCCGCTGTCCCTGGGCACCTAGAGTCTCCTTGAGCAGAGGGGCTCCCAGCTGCTGCTTATAATGTTTCCAGCCTCTTACAGCGGCTCATCTAGCACAAATGCTCCCTAGTGAGAAAGGGCTTCCTAAGGGTAAACAAATGCAGGCGTTTCTGCCACTAAGTGACATCAGTAACACCTCTTTGTTGGATGCTAACTCAGCAGTAATGTAACCTCACATTGAGGGGGATGCCAAGAAAATCAAAAGGAATTAGCTGGGCACAGTGGCTTACACCTGTTATCCCAGCACTTTGGAGGCCAAGGAGGGTAGATCACCTGAGGTCAGGAGTTTGAGACCAGCTTGGCCAACATGGTAAAACCCCGTCTCTACTAAAAATATAAAAAATAGATGGGTGTGGTGGTGGGTGCCTGTAATCCCAGCTACTCCAGAGGCTGAGGCAGGAGAATTGCTTGAACCTGGGAGGCAGAGGTTGCAGTGAGCCGAGATCACACCTTTGCACTCCAGCCTGGGCGACAGAGTGAAACTGCATCTCAAAAAAAAAAGAAAAGAAAAACAAAAGGAATTATAAGAAAAGATCAGCCCTGTGCCCAAGAACAAAAGGCCAGGAGGAAGCTGGCCATTTTCCAGGCCTCTCTGAGAGAGGAGCAGCACACAGGCCCAAGGTTTCAAGTTAAACTCATTGAGGTTGGGTCTTGGCTCTGCCACCTGCTAGCTGGGTGACCCTGGGAAAGTCATTTGACCTCTCTGAACAGAAAATTTCCTCTCTCCAGAGAAGACTAAAGGGGAACTCGGGGGCTGAGGACAAGCACAGCCTTGAATGCTAAGGTCAGTGCACAGGACAGAGTCCTGTGTGGGAGTCAGGAGTGGCAATTGCCACTTGGTTGCTGCCTTGCCTCAGGTCCATCTCTGACCATCCCTGACCACTACCACTGAGGGGAGGGATGGGTAGCCTCTGCTCCCCTACCATGGCTATCCAGCCACCAACTCCTCAGGACCACCACAGAGGTGCCACCAGCTGGAAGGCCCAAGACCAAGTCCAGCCCAGTCACCTTGGCAGTGGATAGTTCCCCAAATCTTCTGGAGTCCTGTCTGGGCACTCAGACCTGGGCTCGGTATTGGAGCTGGACACACTGCATCCTGCTGAGTGACTTCGGGCAAGTTCACCTCTCTGTGCCTCCATTTCCTCATCTGTAAAAAAAAGGAACTTAAGGCCGGGTGCAGTGGCTCACACCTGTAATCCTACAGCATTTGGGGAAGCTGAGGGGGTGGATCACCTGAGGTCAGGAGTTCGAGACTGGCCTGGCCAACACAGTGAAACCCCCATCTCTAATGAAAATACAAAATTTAGCTGGGTGTGGTGGCAGATGCCTGTAATCCCAGCTACTGGGGTGGCTAAGGCAGGAGAATTGTTTGAACCCAGGAGGCGGAAGTTGCAGTGAGCCAAGACCACACCACTGCACTCCAGACTGGCCGACAGAGCAAGACTCCAGCTCAAAAAAAAAAAATGGGCTGTGGTGACAATTATAGAAGATGTATGATGTCTGGTCCCTGGCATGCAGCAGGTGCTCAACAAATGAACATGGCAAAGATTTCAGGCTCTAGAAGCAGATTGGCTGCCTGCATTCAGTTCTGGCTCCACCCACTTACTAACCCTCTGTCATTGGACAAGTCGCTGCACCTCTCTGAGCCTCAGTTTCTTCATCTTTAAAATGGGGGTCACAAGCCAGGCACAGTGCCTCATGCCTGTTATCCCTGCACTTTGGGAGGCTGAGGTGGGCAGATCACCTGAGGTCAAGAGTTCAAGACTAGCCTGGCCAACACGGTGAAACCCCATCTCTACTAAAAATACAAAAATTAGCCGAGTGTGGTGATGAGCGCTTGTAGTCCCAGCTACTCGGGAGGCTGAAGCAGAAGAATCGCTTGAACCCAGGAGGCGGAGGTTGCAGTGAGCCGAGATTGAGCCATTGCACTCCAGTCTGGGCAAGAAGAGTGAGACTCCATCTCAAAAAAAAAAAAAAAGTTGGGGTGGGGGGGGCGGTCACGACAATACCAAACAGAAAACACTCTCGTGAAGATTAAGGGAGAGAATAGCTGCAGAGCACTGAAAATACTGCTTGATGCTTGATAAGGAGCAAGCACTGGGAAAATATGACCTGTTACTACTCTGGTGAGCAGTTCACACAGTGAAGTCTTACACCATCTCAGTGGCTCTTTCTCCTCTCTCACTGCCTACGAGACAAAGTGGTCACCACTGCCTCCTCTTCACAGTTGAGGAAACTGAGGCCAAGAGAGTGGAGGTCAGTGAACTACCCAAGGCGTTATCTTTGTCAAATATCTCGAACTTAGAGAAAGTTCAGGTTTCCTGATGACCAGCCCTTTGCTTTTCCCAGGCGCCCCAGCCTAGGGACCCCTCCACCCAAGAACAATAAGCCTGGGCTTGGAGGGAGGGTAGGTGCCACCTCCCTGCCAGGTGCATGTCCGCACTGGGCCTTCCGTGAGTACAAGTCCCCCAGGTACCAGCAGGAGGCAGCATCGCCCGCGAGGTCTGCACGAGCGCTGCTCCCAGCGAGAAATTTGACATCCCTGTCCCTGTTTGCACAAGGCTTGATCTCCGCCTTTGAAACCTGCAGCCCCCAGGAGAATGAAAACCGGAGGTGTTTCCCAATCCGCTGGCCCGGGCGGCGTCGAGGGAGAGAAGCCAGGGCCCCTCTCAATCGCTGCCCCCTACTCCAGGGAGCACAGGCACTCCCGCGGGTCAGCGCTGGACACCAAGGTCCCAACAGGTTTACAGGCTGCCTGTGGCCTGTGGCTGCCAACGAGCTGGTGGCAGGACTGGGTCCAAGTGCCGTGCTGTTTCCATACTGGCTGCGCACAAGCCTACGTTTCTCCCTGAGGGTCGCCATCTCCCACCCAGGGCTCTGCCCTCCACCCTCCCTACCCTTCTGGCCTCGCTGTCCCTGGGGCAAGAACCCCGGTGAGCGAGGTCTGGAACCCATAGGCATCAGTTGCCTTTGCCCCAGGCGCCCAGAGCCGGCCAGCTGCGGTCCAGAGGCGCAGGTCCGCCAGCCGCCTCGCAGGTTGCCCTCAGCCCCTCCCAGGACTCCCGGGGCCCCCGGAGCATCCAACAGATACCCAGGGGCAGGGCCTGGGGCGCCGCGGACGGCACTGGAGGCAGCCGACCCTGGACAGACGACAGGGGAGAGAGCCAAGCGGACCCTGGCAGGAAGGGGGCTGGAGGCGGACGGTGGTCTCGGAGGCCACGGGGTCCGCTCGGGCTCTGCTCCCTCACGGTGGGCACGAGGGTCCGGCGCCCGCATCCCCGCGCCGCTCCCTCCCCACTTGTGCCCCGGGCGCCCCTCGCCCGCGATCACAGCCCATCTCAGCCCGGGCCTCCGCAGTGCCCGGCCCACGCCTCCTGCCCCTTCCCCGGACCCTGCCCGGGAGGTGTGGGGACCCGCAGGGCACCCAAAGCGGTAAGGGAGGAACCCGGCCCGCACACAGCCCCAGAAGCCCAGCGACCCCTAAGCCACGTACCGTCCCCAGGCAGCTCCTCGACGGCTAGAGCTCTCGGGGGCCGCGAGCTGTCCCGGTCCAAGGCAGCAGTCTGATTTCGGGGAAATTAAAAGGGCAGAAAGGAAGCGGCAGCAGAAAAACCCCCGCGCTCCCGCCAGACCAGCCCCTTAAAGGAACACGCGCACCTTTCCCTCCCAAGGGCTGGGCTCGAAGGGAGGAGCTGCTGCAGGCTTGAGCGGTCTCCAGACTCGCTGGGAACCACCGCAAAGAGGGTGTGCAAGAGTTGAGGCCCTCACGTCTTGGGAAAGGAGAGTAGGGGTGGAATAGGAGAGTTTGGGGAGGGGGGATCCCCTTAGAAAGCCTGGTATACCAAAAACAGTGGGAGTAAGCAGGGGAAGCCCCTGTCCAGCATTCTGCTAGGGGCTAAGGCTGCTCCCCACCTTTGATTGTGGAAGGGGTGAGACTTCTGTATTACTTTCTTTTCCAAATAGAAAGCAAGGGGGTGAGGCCAGGTGCAGTGAGTGGCTCATGCTTGTAACCCCAGCACTTTGGGAGGTGGAGGCCGGTGGATCACCTGAGGTCAGGAGTTCAAGACCAGCCTGGGCAACATGGTGAAACCCTGTCCCTACTAAAAATACAAAATTAGCTGGGCGTGGTGGAGCATGCCTGTAATCCCAGCTACTTGGGAGGCTGAGGCAGGAGAATTGCTTGAACCCAGGAGGCGGAGGTTGCAGTGAGCTGAGATCATGCCATTGTGCTCCAGCCTGGGCAACAAGAGCAAAACTCCGTCTCAAAAAAAAAAAAAAAAAAAAAGCAAGGGGTTGCTGATGTCCTCATGCCCCTGAGTTTGGCCATCATGAAACACTGGCCAGATTCCCAACTCACTGTCAGGCACATAGCAGGTGCTATCCCCAGCACATGGGGCTTGAATGAGTGGCCCTGGCTGGGAGGGGAGACACAGGGTGGGATACCTCTGCAGCCTGCAGGGGCAATCAGGCTTCTGAGTGGTCCTCCAACAGGGGTGGGCCTCCCTTCGGAATCCTGCTAATCAGCACAGCCATCCAGGCAGCCGCTCAGGATGCCTCTGTTTGGACAGGGTGTTTTCTTTCCTGTCCAGACCAATGGGGGCCCTGGCCTGGACAGCCCGATGTTTCCTCAGCAGAAAAGACTAAGGAGGTCCTTCAGCTTTGGCTGGGGGAAGGGTCGAAGGGTCACAGGGTCACAGAGCTCAGAGCCTCTTCCTAAACACAGCTCAAGTTGGCCCATGAGTGTGTGTGTGTGTGTGCATGTGTGTGTGTTACACACAGCCAGGGGCACATTGGAGCACAAAGAACTGTGATCAACAGGTAAACTACACCTAAAAGGAACGCCAGGCTTGATGGGCAAAGGGGAGCCAAGGTAGGTCCCTCTGCAGGTTCCCGACAGGGGAGAGGATGGACAGTAGGGAGAGCACATTTTGCTACAGTTAAGTCGAGTTGAACATGCCAGCCAGGGGTAGGGGTAGCCAGCAGGTGGAATCTGAACGCTCACCCTCTGCCTTGCAGTGGGGCAGAAAAAAGTCAATGTGTAGGGGTGATGGTAAAAGCTGGGCAAATGGAAGACACTGCTGAGGGAGAGAAGCCAAGGAAGGAAGGAGGGGGTCAGGAGTGAGGGGACTCCACTCCAGGGTCCCAGGAGGGGGACTTTTAGAAGGCTGTGGCCAACCCATCCCAGAGCAGAGATGCTTCTCCCACTGTCTGCTTATCCCCAGGGTATGCTGGAACAGGGGTTCAGGGCAGGAAACTCCCCCGGGAGGGAGACCTGAGGCTTGGAAGCACGCAGAAAGGCTTGGCTCTAAACCCAATCCACACCGCTCCGCAGAAGAGAGCTCTGAAACGGGAGGCAGTAGGCCAAGGGACACCCAGGGGAAGGGAGTCCCCCATCCTCAGTTCCTACGAAGACCACGGCCTGGGCCTTTTATTCAGACCCTGCTAGGCCCAGGAGCCCAGCAACCGCAGGTCTCAGAAAGGAACCACTTCCAGACACATTTCCCTGATGTGGTTCCAGCAAAGCCACGCCCTCCCTTTGGCAGCCCTGTGGCCCCACCTCCTGCTGCTCAGAGGCGGCCCCACCTCCTGCTGCTCAGAGGCGGCCCCACCTCCTGCTGCTCAGATGCACCCCCTGCCTGCAGAACACAGCCGGCTCCCAAAGTTTGGAAAAATTCACCTTGACAAAGAGGGTGGTTTTTCCTACACCCCTTCCCAAGCTAGCCAAGCCTCTGCCTGCAAGTCACCCTTCCAGATCACCAAGACACTGGCCCGCAAGGCCCACCCCCACTTCTTGATGACCCCCACACAGGGGAGGGCAGAGAGGGTATCCCTGGAGCACACACGCCAGTGGCCTACCAGGAACCAGTGTGTTCAGGCAGGAGGCCTCATGCCCACTTGGCAGAGCCCCGGCCCCCTCCTCCAGTCCCACGCTGCACCCACCCCAGGAACTCCCGCAGTTCGGAAGGCATCCAGGTTCACTGAGTTTCTTATAGTTTCTCCAGCCCACCACTCCAGTTGCAGAGAGAATGGAAACTGCTGAAGGGGAAAACCAGCTGCCCCAGCCAGTCTTCCTGGCAGGAAGGGAGCAAAAGCATTCAGGAGACAGTGTCTGCCAGCACTCGCTGGGCCCCTGACCAGGCAGCAGTTGTAGGGCTCAGGGCCAGACGGCATGGAGGTAGAAAGCAGAGGGAAGAGGGGAAGTCAGGTTTTGAGGACCTGGAAGTCCTGACTTCCTTCAGGCCGCCCTGGACCAAAGTCTCCAGCCTCCTGCTATGAAGCTATGTGTAGTCAGGCAGGTGACATAAAGAAAGATGGGGCTGGGCACGGTGGCTCACGCCTGTAATCCCAGCACTTTGGGAGGCCGAGGCAGGTGGATCACAAGGTCAAGAGATTGAGACAATCCTGGCCAACACGGTGAAACCCTGTCTCTACTAAAAATATAAAACTTAGCTGGGCATGGTGGTGTGCACCTATAGTCCCAGCTACTTGGGAGGCTGAGGTAGGAGAAATGCTTGAACCCAGGAGGCAGAGATTGCAATGAGCCGAGATCACACCACTGCACTCCAGCCTGGCGACAGAGCAAGACTCCATCTCAAAAAAAAAAAAAAAAAAGCAAGCAAGCAAGCTGGGGCTCAGGGAGGACCACAGGTGGGGGATGGGGAAACCAGCGCAATTTAAATCCCATTCCCATGAAACAATAACGAACCACACCAAGAGTTCCCGTGAAGAAGATAAATATATTTTGGAAGCTGCCTGTGTCCTCTGGGGTGAAAAGCCAGCATAGAGGGCCCCAAACGCCCACCCTGCCAACCCATGCCCTCCTCTGACCTCGCTCCCTTTCTCCCCATAGACCCGCCCCACCCCCTTCTGTGTCGCTGGGCTTCAGGACAAGGGGCAAGAGAGGCAACCAGGGAGACAAGGGGAAGTGTCTTGGGGACAGGGGGCCACAGCAGTTGTGGCCACATGGTACCCCAGGGCCGACGCAGGGCCGACGGGCAAGAGGCTGTTATCTCCAGCCTGGCGCTTCCGGGCCTTTCTTGAGGCCACCATGGGAATGTGATGTGTGAGAGAGGGGCTAGGAGAGACAGAGACACACGCACCTGGGATCGGCGGTCCGGACAGGGGCAGGGAAACCACACGCCCTACTTTGCCCTTTCCTGTCCATCCCAGACCTACTCAGATCCCTCAGTGCCTAAGAAAACAGGACAGTGAGGACTGGGGGTTAGGGGACGGGGCTTAGGGGCTGGGGCAGGGCCCGTGAGAGGTGGAGGGTGGGAAAGAGGGAGGGAGGGGTGACTGTGTGGTGGTGCTGCCTCTGAACACCCTCCCCTTCCCCAGTCCCCAGCCCTATGGTGATTTAAAGGGGCTGAGAAGCCAAGAGGCAGCGGGCCCATGGAAAGCAGGAAGACCTGGGGGTGGCAGGTGGCCACTAACAGCCCAGCAGCTCCAGGCGCAGGGCGATGCGGTTGTGCCAGGCTACAGGCAGGATGCGCACATAGCGAGCCAGGATGGGCGTCTCAAACAAGTTCTTCTTGTGGGAGTGGTTGTCCCAGTTGCCAGGGAAGATCTAGAGGCAGAGCGGGTGTCAGGAGGACCCCGAGCCAGCCCCCCTCCCCTCAGAGCCCCAGGCCAGACTCCCAGGGAAGTAATGAAGGAATGGCAAAGGGTGGGCAGCTGGACAGACACCCACCTTACTGCTGCCAGTCCTGGGGTCCTGGTACTCAGTCCAGTTCGCACTGTCATTACTGTAGGCAACCTTGTAGGATGCCACAAACTGGACAGAGCCAAAGTTACGGGCCCCCTGGGTGATGATGCCTGTCACCTCCTTCGAGGAGCCCAGGTCCACCTACAGAAGAAACCAACCACATTTTCTCTGCTTGGACCATCTCCAGTAAGGTGAAAAGAGGCAGACACACTGAGGCATGAATTCTAGTTTTGAAAAAAACTACTTGGGTGAGCCTCAGTTTCTTTGGCTATAAAATGGGCATAAGGCCGGACATGGTGTCTCATGCCTATAATCCCAACACTTTGGGAGAGACTTGAGGCAGGTGGATCACCTGAGGTCAGGAGTTCGAGACCAGCCTGACCAACATGGTGAAACCCCGTCTCTACTAAAAATACAAAAAATTAGCTGGGCATGATGGTGGCTGCCTGTAATCCCAGCTACTAGGGAGGCTGAGTCAGAAGAACCGCTTGAACCTGGGAGGCGGAGGTTGCGGTGAGCCGAGATGGCGCCACTGCACTCCAGCCTGGGTGACAGAGCAAGGCTCTGTCTCAGAAAAAAAAAAAAAAAAAGCGGTGAGGGGGCATAAATAATACCACCTACTTTGCCACACATGGTGTTCGGTACCTCACTGCTATAAAGCTCATAGGGTCTGGGCCCTGGCCAACTCCACGCCAACCACCCCTGCCTGAGACCTGCACTGCACTGTGATGGGAAGAAGGACAGGAGAGGCCACAGCCTGGAGGGGCATGAACTGCTCTAGAGGCTCCCTGCGGCGCCGCCCACAGTCTGACACTGGTCCTGAGGGTGTCCACAGGCAGGCAGCTCCTCAGGGAACCCAGCTCCGCAGTGTGCTCCATGGGGCCCTGAGACAGACCTCCTGTCCCCGGTCCCTGACCTCCCTGGAGAACCTGCCAGCTGCACCTGGACACACAGTTCCCCAACATCCAGGTGTAAACCCAACTCACTGCCAGCCAGCAGGTGGGTACTAGGCAGATCATCGTCCTGCCAGCTCTCGGCTTCCTCATCTATAAAACAAGCTCCGGTTTTCCATGGCTCTCTTTTGTTTCCTAGTTTCAATGACAGACAAGGGCTGTCACATGGTGGCTTCTTAGACACTGAGTCAGAGAATATGTATGCTGTGCTCAAGGGAGAGGTCCCAAGATGCCTGGGTCATGTCTCCCTCTTCCGCCTCCGCCCTGCTGTCTGTCCATAGGCTGAGCCTTGTCAATCCTGTGGCAGCCCATGGAATGGCTCTCCCCTTGTGTACACACATACACACACATTCACACACACACATTCACACACACACATTCACACACACACACACATTCTCACACACACATATTCACACACATTCACACATACACATTCACATACACATTCACATACACATTCACACACATTCACAAATACACATTCACACATACACATTCACACACACACATTCACACACACATTCTCACACACACATTCACACACATTCTCACACATTCACACACACATTCACACATTCACACACACACATTCACACATACACATTCACACACACATTCACACGCACGCATTCACACGCACGCATTCACACACACTCACATTCACACACATTCACACACTCACACACACACATTCACACACACACACACATACACACACACACCCTTTCTCCACCTTGGTGGAAGCAGGATCAAGAGAAGGGAGTACAGGTGGGAAGAAGAAAGAAAAGCCGAAGAAAAACAAGGCTTTTCCAGAACTCTTTTGGGGAGCAGAAGAGAAGCCTGGGCTGGAGAGAGGTCAAAGATCTGGCAGTCCCACCTCATCCCACCCAACCCCAGCCCCATATCCCAAGAAGGCTGACCCACCTGCAGCCACTGATCGTTACCGTAGCTCCCCGCAACCCAGGCGTTGAAGTTGCCCTGCTTGTCCAGCCGTGCATAGGAGGGGTTCCAGCTGAAGAGATGCAAGCCCCAGGTCTTGTAGCTGCTGGAGGCCGTGATCTGCTTGTCAGGGATGCTGTTATTCTTCAGGCCCAGGGGATTGGCGCATCCTGCCAGCAAGGTGGGCTGTCATCTGGATCTGGGATCCACAGCTCCCAGGGGCAGGAGCACAAGGCGATGAAGCAGAAAGAACTCTGTGGATCCTGACCAGCCCCTGTCATGCTCTTGGGCAACAGAAAGCAGCTCCATCCGCCTTGCAGGGCCAACTGTGCGACCTTCTCACTGCCGACCCCACCACCTCCTCACCTCAACCAGCCGGGCTCAGCTCCTCACAGATCACCCAAGACCTCCCACTCACCACCCTTCTCCTCTGCACCAGGGAAGGCCCCTGCTCCACCACCTCCTGCCCTCCTTCAATGCCTGACTTTGGAGACACCTCCTCCAAGAAGTCTGCCCTGACTACTTCACTTGGGCAGGATTTCTTCCTCTTCTGGACTCACAGCACTGCCCCCATCGCCTCGGCCTCCCATCCGTCCCATGGCACAGTCACTATCTACTTTAATAACAACCACATTGTTTATTCAGTGCTTACTTCAGTCATTTAACCTGCCACCAAAAAAAAAAAGAAAAAAAAACACTAAATGAAGTAGAAATTAGTAAGCCCATTCTATAGATGAGAAAACTGAAAGACATTAAGCATCATGCTCAAGTCACATACAAACTCCTAATGTCACACTATGACGTCACCTCTACCAGCTACACATCCCAGCTAGATGATGAAGGCCTGCCTAGTGACGACCCAGTGATGAACAGGACAACATCCCTGCCCTCCAGCAGCTGGCAGTTAGAGAAATCAGACAACTCCTGGGGCACAGGAACATCTCTATTTCCATTCCCCAGAAGCCCCCTGACTTAGTGTCTCCCAGAGGGCCTTCGCACACTCAAATGTTCTGGGGATGCTGTCACACAGGCCTGTGAGGGCTGGCCCGGGAAGCTGGCCTTTGTTTCACTCAGCCCTGCCCCAAACACTCAGGAATGTGCCGGGCTGCCTTGCACTTGTATCTGCACCTGCATATGGATAGAACAGTTGGGGATGGGCAAGAGATACAACTCCCAAGAGAATGATGGGGGTGTCTCCCACCTGGAAGAATCCTCACTCCACAAGTGTCTATCCCTCTGGGGAATTGAGGGAGGCAGGAGTGGACGGTGGGACTGGAGAGCCCCCTGCCCTCTGGGAGCCAGCTAAGTTATATCACTGCCCTCCAATACTCTCACCACTCAAGAGTACTGGGAGCCAGCTAAGTTATATCACTGCCCACCTGTACTCTCACCACTCAAGACATTTGCCTCCAGGGTGTGTTGACAATGCCTGCTGATGGTACCATCATCTCCTGATGGTGATGCACCAGGGAACCACCACCTTCCCCCTCAAAGAGAGGCTCCCGGGCTGAGAGCTGGTTGTCCCTTGGCCCCAGAAGAGGAGAGGCCTGAGGCAGGCTAAAACCTGGGCAGCTTTGCAGAGGACACCAATTCTGCACAATGTGCTCAACGCAGACCCCTCTACAGATCATCTGCTTCTAGTGGTTCATACCCTCCTCACTCTCAGCCTCCCCAGGAAGTCAGACAGCCTTTCTGGTAAAATGCAGTTGGAAGGGGCACCAGGGCAGGGACAGGACTGTCAGCTCCAGCACTCTAGGAAGTCCCTTCCTCTCTCTGGCTCTCAGTCTCCCCATCTATAAAATGAGATACTAGGGGAGTAATTCTCACAGATCACCTGGGGATCTTGATATAAAAAAAAAAAGCTTATGTTTCAGCAAGTCTAGGCTGGGGCTTTCAGTCTGTATTTCTTTTTTTTTGTTTTTTTGTTTGTTTGTTTGAGACACAGTCTCGCTCTGTCACCCAGGCTGGAGTGCAGTGGCATGATCTCGGCTCACTGCAACCTCCACCTTCTGACCGGGTTCAGGCAATTATCCTGCCTCAGCCTCCCTAGTAGCTGGGATTACAGGCACCTGCCACCACGCCTGGCTAATTTTTGTATTTTTTTAGTAGAGACGGGGCTTCGCCATGTTGGCCAAGCTGGTCTTGATCTCCTGACCTCAGGTGATCCGCTCGCCTCGGCCTCCCAAAGTGCTGGGATTACAGGCGTGAGCCACCGCACCCGGCCTCAGTCTGCATTTCTAAGAAGCTCCTAGGTGATGACACTGCGGGTCCCTGGGGCTCTTCACCCACCAAGCTGCCCCTCCATCTCTTGGCTCCAGCTCCACTGGCCTTCCTTCCACCCTTCAACATGCCCCAGGGCCTTTGCATTTACCAATTCCTTGCCTGCAGTGCTCTTTTTGCAGTGCTGTTTTTAAGTTTTTCATGTGGCTGGCTCTCCATCATTCAGGCCCCCAGTCAAAGGCCTTCCCGACAGAGCAGTCCTTGTCTTGCTCTCTCCCCTCACCCCAAGTCATGGTCATCTCATCAGCCTCTAGCTTTTCTTCAGAGCTGTTACTGCTCTCTGTCATCTGCTCCTCGCCTCAAGTCTGCCTTCCTTGCTACAATGCAAATTACATGAGGTCAAGGAATCATTCCCTAGAGCCAAGCACCCAGGAGGGGCTTAATCAATATCTTAATAAACATCCATCGAATTAAATAATTAATTTACCAAAGACACCATATGTCTGCAAAGAGGAATCCCTTGTGGAATCCCAGGTACCCCCAGACCTCAGCCCCACCCACACACATGCACACGTGCACACATGCACACATGCACCAACACTCTCCAGCCGACTGGAAGGCCTATAGGGAAAGGAGTGGTCCAGACCCTGAAGGAAGCAGACAGGGTACCTGGGCTTCCTTGGTTTGCAAGACTCACCCTCTCTTGGCCCTGAGCAGGGGCCAGTCATGCCTGGATACAGGCAACTTTAATGGCCAAAGGCTTCAAGCCAAAACAGCAAGTGTCAGGGACTCCAGGGAGAGGCACACAGACCTGGCTCTGTCCTTTCCCAGTAGCCTACATTTCCTTCTAGCAGAAGGCAAAGTCTTATACTCCCCACTGAAACAATACGGCTCAAAAGGGCCCCTGGTGGAGGAAGCATACCTACTCAAGTTCATACTAAAAACACTGAACCCAGCCAGGCACTGAACTCAGCTCTGAGGGGTATTTGGGTGGTGTCTGAAATGAGACAACAGGAAGAGGTGTCACAGAGGGGAAAGGCGGGGCACAGGAGGGCAGGTAAGATCAAAAGGCCAGCGGGTAAGATAAGAACCTCCACTCTGCAGCTCTGCTTAGCGAGCCCTACAGTTCCACTGATGGCCAGCAGGTGGCATTGTGGCTGCAAAGAGAGAGAAATACCCAGACCTCAGGAAAGCTGGGTTGAGCTGGGCTGAGACAATTAATGTCTGTCAGCCCAAACCCGGCACTCTGACCTCGCCCAGGCTGTCCCCTGGCTCTGCAGAAATCTGTCCCTTTATGGTCTCCCCAGCTCTTCATCTGGGAATCTCTTTGGAAAAGGCAGCAGGAAGCACCAGCTCCAAGCCCTGTGGTCCAAGAAGCCCCTGTGTTTCTCTGGAGTGCAGACTCTTAAGAGTTTGGCAGGGAAAGCTCTGGATGGGTGTGGTCGGGAGCCCAGAGATCTAGACCAAGTCTTAATACCTACCAGATGTGTACCCTTAATAAATCATTCATCGGGGCCCCACGCCCCTCATTCATTCATTCGCTCATTCATCAAATATTTATTGAGTACCTATAAACCAGACACCATTCTAGGCCCTGGGAATACCGAAGCAAACAAAACAGACAGATTCTCTGCCCTCGTAAAGCTGACATCTGCCAAACACACCTAACGCTACATGTTCTAGAAGCTACAGGAGAGGAGCCAACCAGAAGAAGGGAAAATACTTTGAAAACTGATGTCTTTTTCTCTATCAATCAGAATGCCCTGGGTCATGGGTTGGCAGACAGCAAACACCTGGGTGGGGCTGCTATGGCCAGGTGACCCCCTAGAGTGCGTTGCCCGAGTGAAGCCTGGTCCCCGTGCCTTGTTGCTGCCCTACCTAGCTCAGTTTGGCTGAGAAAAGAGGCAGCAGGGAGGGCCACCTCCTAGGATTGGCCAACAGTGCCCCCCTACCCGCACCCCCAGCACTCACCGTTCAGCTCACAGCCCAGTAGCTCAAAGCGCAGAGTGCAGGCCGTGTGGCAGCTCGTGGGGTACAATCTCACGTACTGAGCCTCCACAGGGGTCTCAAACAGGTTGACATGCACCGCGTTTTTGTTCCAGTTACCCACAAACTCCTAGCAGGGAAGGGACAAGACTGGAGAAGGGGGTCCATCTGAGCAGTCCCCCTCCCTGGGGTTACCTCATCTTCCTCTTCAGACCTGGGAGGCAGAGGTGGGGCTGGGAGGGTGAAGAGGACTTGGAAGAGCCAGCAGAGGCTCACACAGCAGCCTCTCCTTTGGCCACCCCACGGCCCTCCACAAAGATTCTCCTCTCACTTTCCTTAATCATCATGGAGCCTGGGCATAAACCCCTATAGCTGACACAGGGCCACCTGTAACCTACAGGGTACCTCTTTGCAAATTAGGAAAAGGCACTCCTTTCTCAAATAGTTTATTATGACAATTTTCTGACAGAGTTCCACAAATGTACAATGCCTGTACTGTGAATGGTGCCTGCTTAGCAATGACATCCTTGAGCAGTGTACAACCTACACAACTGTACATGTACCCATGAAGGCTCAGAATGAAACCCAGCTCCACCACCACTATCACCCTCAACAGGTCACTGTGCCATTTTGAATCTCACTAGTCTCATCTCTAAAGTGGGACTATTGCTTATAAACCACAGAACATGGACACAGTCTGGGTTTCCCAATTTCTAGAAGCCAAGATGCACCCGAAGACCCACATCATAGCCAATCACCTAGGGTTCTCTGGACTCGCTGGGGGTCCTCAGTCAATGCTAGAACCTTAGGGGGTATGGACCACAGCCCTTCTTTCGGGCCCCAACAAGACCTACCTTGTGTTTTTTATTAACATCATGGATGAAATCGAATTCGTGTCCATTAAGGCTGTAGGCCACCTTGAAGGCCTTCAGGTACTCATGACTGGCCAAGCGGCTGGCACCCTGCGTCACCACACCTGTTACCCACATCCTCCGCAGCAGGTTCACCTGGACACAGGGCAGGGGAGATGGCACCCTTATCTCCTGGGTTCTTTCCACTCAAGATCCAAGCAGACCCATCCCTTCACTCCCCCACTGGGTGGGGGAACAACTCAAGCAAAACAGAGGAGGGGTAGCTGAGCACACTGCCCGCACAAAGGGCTTTCTTCTTCTGCCCAGGCCTCCAGAGGCCTCATCCAGCACCAACAGCTCCTCCACAGCCTGGGGCCTCCTCCCCCCTCACCTTGACCCCATACCAGGTTCCTCCAGGGATGCCATCCACTTACAGATACTTCATCCATGGGAACCTGTTACCTTGCCACCTGAACCCCAGTGATGAACCCTCCTGGGGTAACCCCCAAATGCAGAAACATTCATCGAGCCTTCTCTCCATTGCCCCGCCCCAGGGCCATCCCCAGGCATACCTGGATCCAGGGGTTATCGTCATTGCTGCTGGGTGTCCAGGCATTGACCATGCCTGCGCGGTTCAGGCGGGCCAGCTCCGGGACCCAATGCTGCAAACCCAAGAAGGTCACACGCACAGACGAGGCGGCGATCTGTGAGTTGGCAATGTTCCCATTCTCCAGGCCCAGTGGCTCGACACATTCTGAGGGAAGGGAGGTGGCAGTCAGGTGGCTACCCCAGCAGGTTCCCGGGCCCAGCTGGGACCCAGCGGACAAGAAAATAAGACTGTATGACCTCTGCCTAAGCCCCAGGGCCAGGGAGAACCTCAGAGCCTCTCTCAGAACAAAGACCACAAAGGGACAATGAAGGCAGTGCCCAGGACGAGGTGCCAAGAAAAGGTATGTGGCCAGGGGTGGTGAGGATGAGGGGGGTGGGCAGAGTCACGGGAGGCTGGGACCCAGGGCTGCCAGAGGATCCCAGCCAGGGTAGCACTGTGGGGACAGCCATGATTGGCACTCATGGAAAGTAGAGTCCCCCCCGCCAGGCTGTGGGAGGTGGCCTCGTTCATATAGGGCATCTGGCAGCAATCAGTCTGGTGCAGGGGTTAGACTGGTGGCACAGAATACCGGTGTGACCCCCTCTTCCTCAGTGTCCCCTCCCCCCACCAGGAAGGGACGCCATCCTCAGCCCAGCCCCTGGCTTCCTCAGGAGGGTGGCTTTGGGAGAAGGGCTACCTCGGATAGCAGTGAACAGTACCAGCACTGTACACAAAGAAAGAAGCTAATCTGCCTGGAGTTTTCTAGAATCCCACTGGCAGGAGTTCTCTGGGTGGGGCACAAATGCCATTCTGCTTTCCCTCTTTACGCCTTCCACCTGTGGGCCCTCACCCAGCCATCTGTGAACATGCCCGTGGCCAAGGCCCCACCCCCCTCACCATCACTCCAGCAGTGTGGTCCCAGGAACCCAGGACAGCTACCAGGCCCACCTACAGGCCAAGCTTCTCTCATCACCTGGGGATCCCCCCAGCGTGTGCCTGGGCCTTCCAGCTGCCAAGCAGAGAACCCACAGACAGATCTAGTCTTCCTCCAACATCACAGGCGCGGACGAGCTCAGTGTTAGCGCACTCTGGCAGGGAGGGGAACGCGCAAAGTGAGGCCAGAGCCTCAAGACCAGAGCTCGGCCAGTGGCTGAGCTGAGATTTGACCCCAGTCTGCCTCCAAGACTATCCCCATACCCCACCACGCTCACACCCTGAAGGAGTCCAGTGTGCATTCTTTGGGCCCGCAGGGTCCTTGTTGGCTCCAAGGAAACATACCACGTAAAAGGCAAGGAAGAGCTGCGAAGGTCCCTCTGAGGGCTTCCTCCGCTGTGTGGTCACCCCTGCCTTCTTCCTGGGTGCAGCCATATCCAGCCTGGGGAAGATCCCAGGCCCAGAAGCTAGAAGTCAAGGTGGGTAATTCCCACTCAGGCACACTCACTGTTACCTCAGCTCCCAGGATACTTGTTAGTGGCTCCACCTGGCCCTACCCAGGGCTCTGATTGCCTTAGCAACCCGTCCGCCAAACCATACACACACCCTTCCACCAGGATCTCAAACACATCTGGCCTCAGGGCAGGGTCCAAGGCACAGGCCCCAGGGCCACTTGGGAGGTAAAAGGCATCCTACTCACTTGACCTGCTCTCTCCCAGGGCCCCTGCTGCCACCCAGCTGGCTCAAGCCCCCCGCCCCCTCCTTCTGGAGGCCAGCAAACCTCAGAACCCATCCCCACATCTCCCTGAGGAGGGCAAGATGTCCCCTGTCCCCTACCCAAGATGCTCAGCGATTGACCTGCTGGATTCAGAAACCTAGGACCCCCCGCTCCACCCATCCCTGGGCCCACATGTGGGCAACCCGCCTGCCCCATGAGGAGTCCTAGTGGGGTGGGAGCACTAAGTGGGAGGGACTCCAGCTGGGCCTGGAGGGAGGACAGCAGGGGAACTGCTGTTGCCACCCCACCTAGGGCCATTCTGTGGCCGAGTGGATAACCAGGCAGGTCACACGCGGACAGCCCCTCTGGGCATGCAAGGCCTCTGACCACCTGACCGCGTGGGGATGGTTCAGCTGGCCCAGGCCTCTCCCTTCTCCCCGAGCTCTGCGATGAGGCTGCAGGTCAAACTTGGGCCAGGAACTGTCAGACTCTGAAACCAAGGCTGATTTACTGAGTTCCTGGGCCTCAAAAGACCAAGAATGTGTTTGTTTTCCCCTCTTAGGTAGAAAAATCCTTGCAACTTAACCCTAATGCTGTGTGTCTGGCTCATGGTGACTCAAGAAACAGCACTCCCGTGACCTCCAGGGTGACCACAACCCCTCACTCCTCTGCATCAGCATCAGGCCTGGCCGGCAGTCTCAGGAAAGAGGGCCAGGCAGAAAGAAGGAAGAAACAACAGGACCCTTTTCCCCCCTCGGTCTAACTGAGGCTCTGTCTCTCTCTCTGAGTCTCCCCAGAGGAGGCCTTGACACCTCCACTGGGGTGGGGATCACAGGCAGAGAATAAGGCCAGCATATGGCCTATGCCACCAGGGCTGTGGCTCAGGGTCTACTGCTAGAAACAGGCAACAAGCACCCCCACATACTCACTCGTCTCACAGTGGTTGCCCGCGTAGCCCTTAAGGCACGTGCAGGTGTACGAGGGGAAGACATCTCCTCGCACTTCTTGGGAAATCTCCTCGCATAAACCACCGTTGTGGCAGGGGTTTTTGGAACAGATATCTGGGGACAGAGACAGGTAAGATGAGCAGATGATCAGGAAGGAGCTGGGGACACAGGTGAGAAGTAGCAGATGGGTCCAGCCCAAAAGGACCCTCCACTCAAACTCGCCCATTATCTCTTCCTCTCCCTCTTCCCCCGTGTGCTGGATGGAGCCTGAGTCCGCCTAGAGCCAAGGAAGTCCATGTGTAGGCGAATCGGCCCACATAAGGGAAGCGCCCAGCTTTCCAAGTGGCCTGGGAGTGTCCAGAAAAGTGCTGGCTGACAATGGCAGTGGTGCTGGGGACCACTGCCCACTGGTGGAAGAGCTGGCAGCTGGGGTCTGGAGAGGCAGGCAAGGTCCAGGGCAGGTCTCTTGGCAGCAGTTTGATTGCAAAGGAGGCCCATGAGGACTTTCAGGCAGGGGCAGTGGAAGGAAGCATTGTTCTGGCCCATTGAGCAGGTTCCGCCCACCAATTCAGGCACAGGTTGCAGTCACAGATGTCACCTCCAATGGCAGCCCTGACTCAGGAACAGCACGATGATCATCCAGGAAACACTGGGAGGGCCAATGACCATGCTAGGCCCCCGAGACAGAGAAATCAGATGCAGCGCAGGCCTCAAGAAGCCAAGGGGAAAGAGGCCAGCAAGTCCACAGATGAGGAAGATTGCCCAACGCTCCAGAAGCCTGCATGGACCGTCACTGGAGGCATGATTTCTGCTGGGGAATTAGAAGTTCCCCAGAGGAGGGAATATTTGAGCTGGGTCTAGAAGACAAAGTAAGGGGGGTGCCAGACTGGGCAATGAGTAAAGAATGTTCCAAGAAAAGCAGATGCACAGAGGGTGTGGTATGTTGGAGCACAGTTAGATGCAGCTGGAAGGGTAGGCTGGGGCCAGACTGGGAGGGATCTGAAGAATGACAAGTTTAGTTTTTCATCCCGTAGAGCAGTGGCTTTTAACCTTCCTTCACCCTCCTCACCATTGTCCACCAGGGGGGAGAAAAAATAAAAATAAAATAAAAAACAAGAAACAAGAAACAGAGATTCTCAAGTGTGAGATGGGAGTGGGAAAGTCAGTTCCAATTGCGGGATGAAGAAGGCTGAAAAGGCCCATGTGCAGACATGCCGCTGAGCTCTCCCAGGGTGGGGAGCATCTGGTAGCTGCAGACAGGTCCCTCTGGCTGAAATGCAGAAATCCCACTGAAGAGGGTGAAGGTGGAGAGCAGGAGAGCATGGTGAGAGAGGAAGTCAGGGCAGAGGAGTGAAAAGGAAGGGTGATTTCAGAACCACCAGGGGGCAAGGGCTGGAGAGGCCACCAGGGCTTCTGGATGGGAACCTGGATGACAGATGTACACTATCAGCCCCGGTGGTGGAGAACACAGGAGAAGGAACAGGAGGGCCTGTCCTCAATCCCTTGACTCTGGTGGGTCGGCCGGGCCCAACAGGAGTCCTCTAGCCGACATTAGCATCCCAGAAGGGCTGCCCCAGACCCTACACCCAAATCTGTCATTTGGAGCAAGACATGAGACATCTTTTTGCCTTGGCCGGGCATGGTGGCTCACACCTGTAATCCCAGCACTTTGGGAGGCCGAGGTGGGAGGATCATGAGGTCAGGAGATCCAGATCATCCTGGCTAACACGGTGAAACCCCGTCTCTACTAAAAATACAAAAAATTAGCCGGGCCGGGCGTGGTGGCAGGTGCCTGTAGTCCCAGCTACTTGGGAGGCTGAGGAAAGAGAATGGCATGAACCCAGCGGGCGAAGCTTGTAGTGAGCCAAGACCGCGCCACTGCACTCCAGCCTGGGCGACACAGCAAGATTCCATCTCAAAAAGAAAAAAGAAAAAAAAAAAAACCTTTTTGCCTCCCCCTCAGAGTCACCCATCTAAGGCTGGAGAGTCCTCCTGAAATCTCAAAGCCCCTTCATCCCACTCCAGGGAAGGCAACAACACCATTAATGAGCGATCTGCCCTCAGAGCTCCCCCTCCAGGGGCCTCAGGAGCTTAAAGTGGCTCCCAAGGAGCTATTAGTCATTGGCTTTAAATAGCAGGTAATCCTTCCTCTGACCTGGCAGGCGGGGGCGAGCATTGACACAGACAGAGGCTTGGGTTGGGAATGGACTCTTCCCTCCCAACTGCACCGGCCCTCTCCCTACACTGCTCCAGGGCAAAACGGTCCAGTGGGAAAAAGGGAAAGGGAAAGGTGTACTCTACCCAGCCACGTTACCTGTGTGTAAGATAGGTATGGTGTTTCCTCCTTCTGGAAAAGGCCACATCACCCTGTATAAAAACATCTTTGGGACTTCAGAGTCCTGCTCTTTCGGGGACTTTCCAGTAACATTTGGCCAGAGTTCAGGTTGGGGGGTACAGGGAAGAGTAGAAAGGGGCTAAGAAGATCCAGCTGTCTTTCATGGTGGCCGGGGAGGGCCAGGAGCTCCCAAGTTCCTGGGAGCTTGGAGCACTCTGGAAGCTCTAGCCCCGAGGGTCAGGCAGATCACAGGACATAGGGCTGGGGCTCAGCTGTTACCTACCTTGCTTCAGTCAATCCCATTTCTATGAGAAAATGATGGAGGGGCCACCTAAAGAGTCCTGGCCCTGACTCCCTCCCAGCGCTCCACGGTGAATGGCACGGGGCATCCGCAAGTCCAGCCTGCAAGGGGCCCAGCTGGCCTCCGGAGGCCTCCTGGGAGGCGGAGGAGGACCGGGGAAGATACAGCAGCCGGCCAAGGCCGCGGGAGGGAGGGAGTCAGGAGACTCCCATCAGCAGGCAGCCCTCTTCCAAGCTCCTCGAAGCCTCTGGGTCCCCTCCCGGGCCCCACTTACGGCCTGCGTCCATTGCACCGACTCCCCGGCCCTTCCCTTATGTGACCAGGCACGGACAATTGGGAGCGCAAAAATCCAATGAACTGTCCAGCCAACTGGAGTTGGCAGGGAGATGGCCAGGACAAAGTTATCCAGACAAGACTTATCCATACTAGAGTCCTAGAATCTCCCAGGTGGAAGGGGTTCGAAAGTCAAACGCAGTTCCCTGGCCTCATTTTTCACCAGGGAAAAGAGAGGCCCGACACAGCGGATTCCTTTGTCATTATCTGTAAGCCGCATCCCTGGGGGCGGCAGGGCTGTCACCCGATGTCCCGAGTCCCAGCCCAAAAGCCCCAGCGCAGAGACAGCAGGGCCGCATCCCCCTGTCCCGCCAGGGCGCAGCGGAAGAAGCCGCCCCTCTGCCCAGCCCGGTCCCCGGGGCTTTGTCTAAGTTTGTCAACAGTGGAGGTGGAGGGCGGGCGCCGGGCAAACTTCCGAGCGGCGCGGGGAGGAGGGGCGAGGGGCAGAGGGCGGCGCGATCCACTCACCCAGGGCGACGAGGAGGCTGGGGGCGCAGAGCAGCGCGCCGCACAGCGCGGCCAGCAGGCGGGGGCGCGGCATGCTGCGGGGACGCGGGCGCTGGAATGGGCACGCTGGGCTGCTCAGACCCCGCGGGGTTCTGGCGCCTTCTCCTCTGGGACCGGAATAAATCAGGCGGCTCAGCACCTCCCACTGGCCGTGCGCTCCGCCCAAGCTGGCCAGAGGCGGACTGGGGGCGGGGCTCCGCGGCTGGGAGGGAATTGGTTGAAAGGAATTGGGGGGCGCGGGGGTGGTCCGCGATATCTGCCTCTTCCGCCACTGCCACACCGGCGTCCCGCGTCGTGCCAACGGCCGGGTCACGAGTCTTGAGTCTGTTGGGCGGGAAAAGTTCAGGAGTTTTGTTTTTAAGATTTTTAGACTTGAAAAGATGCTAACTCTTTATTCATAATCAGATAGATGCAAATTAAAACTACAATGAGCATCGTGTTTCCCTTCTCGGATCGGCAAGTATCAAGATGTTAACAAGGTTAGTGGAGGCTGTGGGGAACAGGTCCAAGCATGCTTCGCTGAAGACAGTATAAATTAGTTCAACTTCCCTAGAGGGCTATTTGGTAACACCTATCAAAACGACAAATGCTGACACCTTAAGACCTAGCATTTCCACATAGAGAGATTCATTCTACAGAAACTCCCATGTGCAAAATGACAGATATACAAAGATAGCATAGCAACATTGTCTGAAATGGTAAAATACTAAAAAAAAAAAATCAGCGAAGGTTTCTGTAAAGGGCCTAATAGAAAATGTTCTCTGATATGTAGGCCCTGAGTCTCTGTAGCAGCTATTCATCTCTGCCTTTGTTGCAAGAAAGGCACCATAGACAAAATGCGAGGAAATGGGCACCTGTTTGCCGAAAGGGAATAAAACAAAGCAAGCCTGTCACCGTTGACTTTTTACTAAATGATTTGTACTTATCATGTGCAAATATTACCTGTTTACAAATAAGTGATTTTAATAATAGTGTTTTGGCTGGGTGCGGTGGCTCACACCTGTAATCCCAGCACTTTGGGAGGCCGAGGCACGTGGAACACCTGAGGTCGGAGTTCAAGACCAGCCTGGCCAAGATGGTGAAACCCCGTCTCTACTAAAAATACAAAAATTAGCCGGGCGCAGTGGCAGGTGCCTGTAATCCCAGCTACTCGGGAGGCTGAGGCAGGAGAATCGCTTGAACCCAGGCGGCAGAGGTCCCAGTGAGCCGAGATCATGCCACTGCACTCCAGCCTGGGTGACACAGTGAGACTCTGTCTCTAATAATAATAATAATAATAATAATAATAATAATAATAATAATGCTTCAGGCTGGGAGTGGTGACTCAAGCCTGTAATGCCAGCTCTTGGGGAGGCCGAGGTAGGCATATCACTTAAGCTCAAGAGTTCGAGACCTTCCTGGGCAACATGGCAAAACCCTGTTTCTACAAAAAAAGAAATACAAAAATATTCCAGGCGCATGCCTGTAGTCCCAGCTACTCAGGAGGCTGAGGTGGGAAGATCGCTTGATCCCAAGAGGTCGAGGCTGCAGTGAGCCACGATTGCACCACTGCACTCCAGCCTGGGCAACAGAGCGAGACTGTCTCAAAAAATAATAACAATACTAATACTAATAAGTATTTAAGTCAGACTAGCCAACAAACAAAATAGAACAGTCACACATCTCCCCTCCTAGCTGTGTTGAGACCTAAGTTGGGACTAGAGTCCACTGGCAAGATGCCCTTCTTAAAATATTCAGAAGCGGGTACTGGGCGTGGTGGCTCATGCCTGTAATCCCAACATTTTAGGAGGCCGAGGCAGGCGGATCACGAGGTCAGGAGATCGAGACCATCCTGGCTAACACAGTGAAACCTCGTCTCTACTAAAAATACAAAAAAAAAATTAGCCGAGCGTGATGGTGGGTGCCTGTAGTCCCAGCTGCTCAGGAGGCTGAGGCAGGAGAATGGCGTGAGCCCGGGAGGCGGAGCTCGCAGTGAGCCGAGATCGCGCTACTGCACTCCAGCCTGGACAACAGAGCAAGACTCCGTCTTAAAAAAAAAAAAAACATATATATATATATGGGGAAAAGACATATAGGATCAACTCAATAATCACAGAAAAAGCATTTGATAATATCCAACACGTCTTCGTGATAAAACACTCAACAAACTAGAAGTGAAAGGGAGCTTCCTCAACCTGATTTTTAAAAATCTATGAAAAACCGATGGGTACAGTGGCTCACGCCTGCAATCCCAACACTCTGGGAGGCTTAGGCGGGCAGATCAGCTGAGGTCAGCAGTTCGAGACCAGCCTGACCAACATGGTGTAACCTGGTCCCTACTAAAAATACAAAAAGTAACCAGGCATGGTGGTGCACACCTGCAATCCCAGCTACTCAAGAGGCTGAGGCACAAGAATCGCTTGAATCTGGGAGGCGGCAGTTGCAGTGAGCCGAGATTGCACCCCTGCTCTCTAGCCCGGGTGACACAGTAAGACTCTGTCTCAAAAAAAAAAAAAAAAGTGTGTATATATATATATATATGTATATATATATATATGTGTATATATATATGTATATATATATGTGTATATATATGTGTATATATATGTGTATATATATATGTATATATATGTGTATATATATATACATATATATATGTATATATATGTGTATATATATATACATATATATATATATATGTATATATATGAAAAACCCATAGCTACTATCATACTTAATGGTGAAAAACTGAATGTTTCCCCTAAGCTCAGGAATAGGACATGGTGTTCTGCTCTCATCACTTCTATTTCATCACTGTGCTGGAGGTTCCAGCCAGGACAATTACGCAAGAAACAGAAAATACATCCCCATTGGAAAGGAGGCAGTAAAACTATCTCTATCTCTACTTACAGATGGCATGATCTTGTATATCAAAAACCCTAAAGAGCCAGGCGCAGTGGCTCATGCCTGTAATCCCAGCACTTTGGGAGGCTGAGGTGAGCAGATCACCTGAGATCAGGAGTTCAAGACCAGCCTCAACATGGAGAAACCCCGTCTCTACTAAAAATACAAAATTAGCTGAGCGTGGTGGTGCATGCCTGTAATCTCAGCTACTCGGGAGGCTGAGGCAGGAGAATTGCTTGAACCTGGGAGGCGGAGGTTGCGGTGAGCCAAGATCGCGCCATTGCACTCCAGCCTGGGCAACAAAAGCGAAACTCCATCTCAAAAAAAAAAAAAAAAAAACAACCCTAAAGAATCCACATACACACACACACACACACACAAACACACAACTATTAAAGATAATAAATGAGCTAAGCAAGGTTGCAGGATACACAATTAATATACAAAAATCAGTTGTATTTCTTACACTAGAAATAAACAATCCAAAAACATAATTTTTAAAAATCCCATTTACAATAGGATTAAAAAGAATAAAATACTTAGGAATAAATTTAACAAAAGAAATACAAGACATGGCGGGGCACGGTGGTTCATGCCTGTTATCCCAGCACTTTGGGAGGCCAAGGTGGGTGGATCACCTGAGGTCAGGAGTTCAAGACCAGCCTGACCAACATGGCGAAACCCTGTCCCTACTAAAAATACAAAAAGTAGCCAGGTGTGGTGGCTGGCACCTGTAATCCCAGCTACTCGGGAGGCTAAGGCAGGAGAATCGCTTGAACCTGAGAGGCAGAGGTTGCAGTGAGCTGAGATCGTGCCACTGCACTCCAGCCTGGGTGACAGAGAGAGACTTCGTCTCAAAAAAAAAAAAGAAAAAGAAATACAAGTACGTTGAACACTACAAAACATCATCAAAAAAATTAAAGAAGATCTAAACAAATGGAAAATTATCCCCTGTTGATAGGTTGGAAGACTTGTATTGTTAAGATGCCAGTACACCCCCAAATTGATGTACAGACTCAATACAATCTCTGTCAAAATTCCATCTGCCCTTTTTGCGGAAATTGACAAGTTGATACTAAAATTCATACGGAGGCCTGGCGCAGTGGCTCATGCTTGTAATCCCAGCACTTTGGGAGGCCAATGCGGGAGGATCACAAGGTCAGGAGATCGAGTCCATCCTGGCTAACACAGTGAAACCCCGTCTCTACTAAAAATACAAAAAATTAGCCGGGTGTGGTGGTGGCCGCCTGTAGTCCCAGCTACTCGGGAGGCTGAGGCAGGAGAATGGTGTGAACCTGGGAGGCAGAGCTTTCAATGAACCGAGATCACACCACTGCACTCCAGCCTGGGTGACAGAGCGAGACTCTGTCTCAAAAAAAAAAAAAAAAAAATCACACGGAAATGCAAGGGACCCAGAATAGCCAAAACAATCTTGAGGAAAAAAAAAGAACAACATTGAAAGACTAACATTTCTCAATTCCAAAACTTACTACAAAGCTATAATAATCAAGTCTTCTAATTAGAATTTACTGTTCCCAACCTGTCTCTCTTAAATTTGCAGTCTCTCCTATAGTTCTTATCAAACTTTGCCTCATATTGGAATGATGGTCGCAATACCTGTCACTCGATTGTAAGTCCTGGTATATGGAATAATGTCATATGTATTCTTGTCACCCTAGCCCAGCACCTTTTATGTAGAAAGAGATCCATCAGCAGTGTTACTTTCAGTCGCCTCCCTGTGACCAAGCCTTCTCCCAGAGAAGGAAGCTGCCCTGCTCAGGGACATATGACCCATCCCCAAACCACAGGCTCCCTCATGGTCTTCAGGGTTGAGCCAAGAAGGCTCACCAGTCACCCTCTGGGGTTAAATTAATGATACATACATAGTAAACAAATAAAAACACTGGTAAAGCCAGGTGCGATGGCTCACGCCTGTAATCCCAGCACTTTGGGAAGGTAAAACACCATCTCAAAAAACAAACAAACAAAAAATTATGCTAAGTGAAAGAAGCCAGTCACAAAGACCATGTTGTGTATTACTCCTTTTCTATGAAATGTCCAGAAAAGGCAAATCTATAGAGACCAATGTTAGATAAGCAGTTGCCAGGGGCTGGGGTGAGGGGAGAATGAGGAATACTGTTCGTAGATACAGAGTTCCTTTTGGGGGATGATGAAGATGTTTTGAACTTAGTGATAATGGTTGTATGACCTTGTGAGCATACTAGAAACCACTGAACTGTACTTTTTTTTTTTTGAGATGGAGTCTCGCTCTGTCACCCAGGCTGGAGTGCAGTGGCTCAATCTTGGCTCACTGCAACCTCTGCCTCCCAGGTTCAAGCAATTCTTGTGCCTCAGCCTCCCAAGTAGCTGGGGTTACAGACGTGTGCCTCCACACCCAGCTAATTTTTGTATTTTTAGTAGAGACGGGGTTTCCTCATGTTGACCAGGCTGGTCTCGAACTCCCAACCTCACGTGATCCGCTGGCCTCCGCCTCCCAAAGTGCTGGGATTACAGGCATAAGCCACTGTGCCCAGCCTCTGAACTGTACATCTTAAGAGTGTATTTTTGGTTATGTGAATTTTATTTCAATAAAAAATAAATACAACACTTCAGAAATCCATCTCAGATGGCAGGTAGAGAATGCTGCGAGCATAGCACCCTTACCAGTTAATGCCACTTACTCTTGCAGAACGGAACTTCCTAATCGCCCTCACTGGCTTTCTGCCACCCACGTGAAACAACTGCACAGTTACCCAATTAAGACACATTTAATCATTGAGTCATTCAAGAAACATGCATTGAGCACTGACTGTGGTTAGCTTTATGACTGGAAACCTCAGCTGCAGACTAGCCTCACTTGGGAAGATTCTTCAAACACAGATGACCAGGCTCCACCCAGAGGAATCAAATCAGAATCACTGAGGTGGGGCCTGGGCATCAGTGTTTTTTAAGTTCCTCAGATGAGGCTAATGTACAACTAGGATGAGAACTACTGGATAAACCCACTGTGAGAAGAAACGAAAGACCTAGGTTTGGGGACCAGGAGTTTACAAGGGGGTTTAACAGGGGAGGGGAGGCATGGAGAGGAAGGGGATTTTCCTCTATGATTTTATCTTTATAGAGTTCAGTGGGATGGCATCTCCTTGGCTTGAACATTTTTCTTATCCAGTACGAGAGCATCATAGCATTATAGGATTTGGTTAGATTTTCTTTTCTTTTCTTTCTTTTTTTTTTTTTTTTTGAGACAGAGTCTCACTCTGTCACCCAGGCTGGAGTGCAGTGGCTCTCAGCTCACTGTAACCTCCACCTCCTGGGTTCAAGTGATTCTGCTGCCTCAGCCTCCCAAGTAGCTGGGAATATAGACCTGTGCCACTACGCCCAGCTAATTTTTGTATTTTTAATAGACACGGGGTTTTGCCATTTTGGTCATGGCTGGTCTCGAACTCCTGACCTCAAGTGATCCACCCACCTCGGCCTCCCAAAGTGCTGGGATTACAGGCATGAGCCACCACACCTGGCCAGAATTTGGTTAGATTTTCTAACAATAGTATCGTACTGTGATCATATTAAACAGGCAGGCCATTGAAAACTTTCAGGTTTTTGTTATATAAATGGCAGGGAAGGCTGGGCGCAGTGGCTCACACTTATAATCGCAGCACTTTGGGAGGCTGAAGCAGGGGGATTCCTTCAGCCCAAGAGTTTGAGACCAGCCTGGGCAAGCAACATGGTGAAACCGCATCTCTACCAAAAATCAGGCAAGTGCAGTGGTTTGCGCCTGTGGTCCCAGCTACTGGAGAGATTGAGGTGGGAGGACTGCTTGAGCCGGGGAGGCGGAGGTTACAGTGAGCCAAGATTACACCACTGCACTCCAGTTTAGGTGACAGAGTGAGACCCTGTCTCAAAAAAGAAAAGAAAAGAAAAAAGCAGGGAAACCAGAGATACCTTCACTCTTTAGCTAGTCCCCGCTACCGCCCCCAACACACACACGCACAGAACATATTCTGTTTTCCAGAGACTTAACAAAAATCAATTAAACTGATAAAACTTAGTCAATGAATGGGGCTATGGGGAAAATAAATACATTTATGCCTAATTGACGGAACTATAAGTTGGTTCAGTGTTTCTGGATCACAGTCTGTAACAAAAGCTACAAAACTCGACCAGGTGAAACCGCCTTTGCAAAATTATGACTCAGACAGTGAAAGAGATCTAACTTAACTGACTCCATCTTGCTTCTTCTAACCTCCAAGCTGTCCTTGTTCATCCCTGTGCGTAGGCGGAACTAACTTTGGGAGAAACGTAGTTTATAGTTTAAACAAAGACAGTAACAGCACTTTCCCAAAGCAGACCTCATTCTTGTCTGGGGACTAGATCGCCTTTTTAGGACTAAGATTAGCCACAATATTAGAAATTATGGTTTAGGAGTCATGCAGTTGGAGGCTACAAGATTCTGACCCTCCCTAAACTGCTCCCAAGATCAGTGCTTGAGATACTTTGCAGATCCTGCACTGGATGTGATCAGCTGGCACCACCCAGGTCAATAAACTCGCTCATCCGATCCTGTGGCCCCCACCCAGGAACTGACTCAGCACAAGAAGCAGCTGCAACTCCCTATGATTTCATCCCTGGCCAATCAGCACTCCTGGCTCACTGGCTTCCCCCCACCCACCAAGTTATCCTTAAAAACTCTGCCCCCTGATCCAGGCATGGTGGCTCACACCTGTAATCCCAGCACTTTGGGAGGCCGAGGCAGGCAGATCACGAGGTCAGGAGATCGAGACCATCCTCGCCAGCGTAGTGAAACCCTGTCTCTACTAAAAATACAAAAAAAAAAAAAAAAAAAATTAGCTGGGCACTGTGGCATGTGCCTGTAATCCCAGCTACACGGGAGGCTGAAGCAGGAGAATAGCTTGAACCAGGGAGTCAGAGGTTTCAGTGAGCCAAGATCGCACCACAGCACTCCAGCCTGGTGACAGAGCAAGGCTCCGTCTCAAAAAAAAAAAAAAAAAAAAAACACCTCTGCTCCCTGAATGCTCAGGGAGACTGATTTGAGTCATACTAAAACTCCGCTCTCCTGCACAGCCAGCTCTGCATGAATTACTCATTCTCTGGTACTCTCTCTACTGGCGGGGTGCTGCCGACCTAATGTGCATGGGTTTAGTTGCAATGGAGAAATAGTCCTGGGGAGATGTCCTTTAACTGTAGCCCTATCACAGGGTGTCTTTCTGTAGCCCCATGGTGGGGTGTCTGGACTGGCGAGTATCCTAGGCGCTACCAATGCCTCCTTCCTTTTCCCGACTGGTTCTGTAGCCCTATGGGGGTTGTCCGTAGCTCCACCATGGGGTGTCTGTGTCTGTAGCCCCATTGCAGGGTGTCTGTTCGGCTCCTGGGTGGTCTCAGTTGGCTTTTTCTAACTAGTAGGAAGAGTCCTGGTTTGAGAGACTTCTCAATCAGGAAGATTTCAAGGAGGTTTCTCAGATGGAGAATAGGAGGATAGTTTGGAAGGGATACTCTTGGAGTTCTCGGTTAGCAATATGATTTGGAAGGCCTTCCGTCCATCTCATCTTTGTGTATGTTTGTAAATGTGGAAGGGATCTCAAAAGGAATTGATGATGGAAGGGGCCTAACTCAGAGAACCCCACTTATTTGTCTGGTCACATTCCATGAGCCCTAAAGAAGGCTCAACAGACCTGTCTCTTGAGGTGACTATCTGCTCTTTGCCTTGCCCAGAGATCCCATTGTGAATTACCATTCAGAGGTCATCCCTTCCCACCTGGAATGGATCAAAGACAACAGGGATCAATGGGGAAAAAGTTTGAGCTTTGCCAGGTTGATATTGGGTGCTGAACGAGGTGACTACTGTTCATTTTATTAGGTGTGTTTTGCTGGGATGGAAAATGTTAATTCCATTCCCCGTGCAGCCTGTTGGGCAGCATCTTGCAAATTAAGAATCTTGCCTATGGTTCCATAAAACGGTGAATGGTGATTTTCTCTTGAACCCCACAGCTATGGCACAGTGAGCAGGATCATCAGAAGCCGCTCCGTTGAGAAAGAGAGTCCAGAAACCTGGTATGCTGGCAAAACAGGGTAAGAAATTCTTACCAGCCAAGTTTCTGGTCTCTCTCTGTTTCTCTGTCTGGGTAAATGGTAAACATCACTATTTGTCTCTCTGCAAGGGTCTGATTAATAGAAAAAGGATTTGTGAGACTAGTCTTAGGCAGTAGCAAATCTGGTGTACTTTGTGCTAAGAATTTGTCTTTCTGTGTTCTGTAACGGAGAGAGGGGCATCACAGGATAGAATGTGAGTTTAGGACGTCTATCAGCCCGCTTTTCAAGCCAGACAAAAGCAGGTCAGTTACAAACTTTGCTACGGACGGGTCTCTGAAACCAATACTGTATGAAATTTCTGTCTTGTATAGGCCGGGTGCGGTGGCTCATGTCTGTAATCCCAGCACTTTGGGAGGCCAAGGCGGGTGGATCGCAAGATCAGGAGTTCAAGACTAGTCTAGCCAACATAGCGAAACCCTGTCTCTACTAAAAATACAAAAAATTAGCCGGGCATGGTGGCAGGTACCTATAATCCCAGCTACTTGGGAGGCTGAGGCAGGAGAATCGCTTGAACCCAGGAGGTGGAGGTTGCAGTGAGCGGAGATCAGGCCACTGCACTCCAGCCTGGGTGACAGTGCAAGACTCTGTCTCAAAAAAAAAAAAAGAAAGAAAGAAAGAAAGAAATGTCTGTCTTGTGTCCTTAAGAGCTTAATTTAACCTTGTGACCATGTAGGTATACTTTCTCTTGGCTCCCACTCCCACCATCGAGAGGACAGGAATTTTGAGGTTCATGTCATAGTTAGCCCTAAAAATTATCTTGAGCGGTTAAAAGCCTTTGCAAGCTTGAAATTGACTTCTCTAGGATCCTTTTGGGAAAAGCAATAGAAATTGCTCATTGCTCTAACTCAGGAGCTAAGGCTTTGCTTTTTGACAATGGCAGCCTGGGTTCTATTCTTGCCTTCCAGAATGATTCTTTTCTGGTTTTTTATTTATGTTACTTTGCCATTTACTGAGGTTTCCCTCCACCCCATGGATAGCTTCTGATTCCCTGTCTTGAATTTTTTTTTCTCTAAACTACCCTGGGGGAGATTCTAAATTTTGTAAAAACAAAAAAAAAAAGAAGGAAAAGGAAAAGAAACTGCTTACCATCCCTTTGAGACACCTATGTGTCATGGTTAAGTTGTAACCTTAGTTAAAACGGGTTAATTTCATGTGGGAAGTTACCTGTGATAGACTTCAAGAGCCAAAAATATCGGCCGCTTGGCATGGCTAAAGTCAGGTAATAAAAAAATTTTAAAGGATTTTTTTTGTAAGAGTGCTATGGCTAAAAGTCAGCTTAATTAAAAGTGGATAAACAAGCTCTAAGTATATTTAAAGGCCTTTATGTTTTTCTCTTCTTGGAACTTGTTTTTCTGGAAAAAGATTTTTTCTTCTCAGTCGACTGAATTATTTTTCTCAATTTTTTTTTTGTCTTGCCACTCTTAATGCATACATGAGAGGCCCTAAGATAACTTCTGCTAGTCTGGGACTCATTGGGGAAAAACAGAGGAGGCACCACAGACCCCATTTTGGGAAAACAAAACAAAACAAAACAAAAACAAAAAAAACTTCTGTTTTCCTCATGAAACCCAGGAAGCAAAAGCAGATAGATCTCTCTCAAAATCAAAGGCTCTGTTCTGTTTTGCATTGTGTTATCTGACAGTTTTGAGTTTGGGGGATATCAGAAATTACTTCGCATTATGAGAGAGCTTTGGTGTGTAATAACTAAGTAGGAAATATACTGTAAGGATGGCTAATAGTAGTTACGGAGGAATACTTGACTCTGCACACTTGGATCAGAGAAGCGTGCTCTTGGCCGCCTGGAAGATAAGAAAACATCCCCACCCCTGACTGAGAGATGAGACTCCCATGAGGGATGTGCTGATGACAAAATGGGCTCATTGGCTTTGGGTTGCCTTGTAATGAAATGCAGGGTAGAAGCACTGCACTGTCAGCCAGGCACATTGGCTTATGACTGTAATCCCAGCACTTTGGGAGGCCGAGGTGGGTGGGTCACCTGAGGTCAGGAGTTCACAACATGGTGAAACCCCGTCTCTACTAAAAATACAAAAATTAGCCGGGCGTGGTGGCGGGCGCCTGTAATCCCAGCTACTCAGGAGGCTGAGGCAGGAGAATCGCTTGAACTCAGGAGGTGGAGGTTGCAGTGAGTGGAGATCTTGCCACCGCACTCCAGCCTGGATGACAAGAACAAAACTCCATCTCAAAAAAAGAAGCACTGCATGGTCTTCTCCCATAGTATTTCCCTCCTTTTGGGGATCGAAGGTCCAGTATAAAATGGCACCCTTAATTCTGGGGATCTGTCTTTGTCTTCAGCTACTTATTTGCTGCTTGTTTGGCCCTAGAAACGCATGCTTTCCTGGCCCTGTTCCTCCACAGCCTCCACCCTGAAGCCAGTAATCCAATTAAGAAACTGGCAAATGAAAAATCTTACAAGTGCCGTATCTTCTGTCTGTATTTATATGTGTTGTCTGTGAGGTTTATATGTAAAAGAGCTCTGATGAATTGGCTTAGAAAAATAAGGGCTTAAATATTTTGTCACAAAAATGGAAACTTTAATGCCTTTTTGTTCATGTGATGTTAGTAACCTTTTGGAAATAAAGACAGTTTTAAAGATTATTGGTAATATCTGTAATCTCAGGACTTCGGGAGGCTGAGATGGGCGGATCACAAGGTCAGGGATTCGAGACCAGCATGGCCAACATGGTGAAACCCCATCTTGTTGGGAACAAGCCCCCCAAAATCTGGCCATAAACTGGCCATAAACAAAATCTCTGCAGCACTGTGACATGTTCATGATGGCCATAAAGCCCACGCTGGAAGGTTGTGGGTTTACTGGAATGAGGGCAAGGAACACCTGGCCCGCCCAGGGCGGAAAACCGCTTAAAGGCATTCTTAAGCCACAAACAATAGCATGAGTGATCTGTGCCTTAAGGACATGCACCTGCTGCAGTTAACTAGCCCAAACTATTCCTTTAATTTGGCCCATCCATTCGTTTCCCATAAGGGATACTGTTAGTTAATTTAATATCTATAGAAACAATGCTAATGACTGGCTTGCTGTTAATAAACACGTGGGTAAATCTCTCTGTTCGGGACTCTCAGCTCTGAAGGCTGTGAGACCCCTGATTTCCCACTTCACACCTCTATATTTCTGTGTGTGTGTCTTTAATTTCTCTAGCACCTCTGGGTTAGGGTCTCCCCAGCCAAGCTGGTCTCAGCACCATCTCTACTAAAGATAAAAAAATTAGCCGGGCATGGTGGTGCATGCCTGTAATCCCAGCTACTCGGGAGGTGAAGGTTGTAGTGAGCCAAGATTATGCCATTGCACTCTAGCCTGGGCCACAAGCCAAGACTCCATCTCAAAAAAAAAAAAGATTATTCGTAAAATAAAAGGTCTTGAAAACGTAGATATTTGGTCTAAATTAAGGTCAGATATCAGATTTGCTAAATGCTTTAAGGTCAAACTGTTTCTTTGACTTTTGAAAATTGTTCAATTTACCTACTTTGGAGCATTAGGTGATAGATAAGGCCTGGGGACATGTGGAGAGCCATGCCTGCTAGCTATGCTAAAGAGTCAGGCCTTATTTTCATTTCTGTCTGATGTCCTAGGCTCCACCCCAGTACATAATTAAAATTGCTTACTTATCAAGCTTCTGACTAAAAATAAAAGTTGCTAAGAGTTAACATTGTAACATGTAATTGAGACCACTGGAGAAACAGTTTTACATACAAGGTGTGTAGGAAATGTGTTTTTGGTAAAAGATTATAAGAAGGTATGGGAATATGGCTTTGTTAAAGGGAATGTAATTTTGTCTAGTTCAGAGGGTTTTAAAGATTGTCTTGTAGGGTGCAGTGGCTCATGCCTGTAATCCCAGCACTTTGGGAGGCCTAGGTGGGCAGATCACCTGAGGTCAGGAGTTCAAGACCAGCCTAACCAACATGGAGAAACCCCATCTCTACTAAAAACACAAAATTAGCTGACCATGGTGGCACATGCCTGTAATCCCAGCTACTTGGTAGGCTGAGGCAGGAGAATCACTTGAACCTGGGAGGTGGAGGTTGTGGTGAGCTAAGATCACGCCACTGCACTCCAGCCTGAGCAACAAGAGCAAAACTTTATCTCAAAAAATATATAAAATAAAATAAAGATTGTCTTAACCTAAAAGAGTAATGGAACAAAACTGAAGGTTTACGCAAAGTGAAAGGGTTAGTAAATGGTTAATCTTATAAAAAAAATTCTGTGGGTATAAACAAGTTGGCTGAGATTTAAAAGAAATTATTTAGCTTTTTTTCTATAGGTTAAAACTTTAAAATGATACTGTTTTGGGACCAGAATTTGGGCCCATGTGTCTGAATAACACAGTTTTCTTAGAAAATTGATCTGCTGTTTGATGGAAAATTGTAAAGGGTTCTAGAAAACCTTACCTTATGGTCAAACTAATTACAACTGAATAGAGATATAAAATTTTATTTAGGAAACTAGCCTTAACATTAAAGATGCACTAAAGCAAACATGAAATTTGGTTTTCTCTTTTGAAAATGATTTTTATGTAATGATAAAAGATAATGAAATGGTTTTGTTTTCTCCTTTGGGTAAATGGCAGGGAAAAAAGGGAAAAGAGAGAAGAGACAAATTTAGTTAGCCTCATACTATCTTTATTGGGTCTTGTTTGGAAAGCTAAGTCTCCTCTCTCAGAGTAAAGGCTTTCTTTTTAAAACTTCTTTTTGGAGTTATCATTTTGGGCAAATGAATAACTTATAGTGACCTGGGATTCTCTTTTGTGATATCCAGTGTTTTAAGCCTTTGATATTTAACAAACTTTCCAAAATCAAATTATAGATTATGTCTCTTTGTAGCCCAGTATTTTAGATATTAGGTCCTCTAAAGTCCAAAAATGACATTTGGCTTATTTGGTACAAAAATCATACAGGAAGCATTGTCAAATATGAAATGGTGTTTGGCTTTCTTTGGTCTATATTTGTGTAAATGTGTTGTTGGTATATGTTCCAAAATTATGTAAAACTGCTGTAACTCAAATATGACTTAGTATGTTTTATCAGTAATAATTATAATTATTATGTTAAATGACTGTGTGCCACAGAGGTAAATTTCCTTGTCAATTTTGCCTTTAACTGTGGTGCCCTAAAATGTTTTTGTCATCCCAGACAATTGTTATCTCACTTTGGTCCTCTTTAAAAGATGATTTTATAGTCAACTGTAAAATTTAACAGGTGCTCCTAAATGCAGATTTCTGATGAATAACTCTGGGAGATTGTGACATTAGAATAGAAAAAAACCCTTCAAATAGAAGAGTGAATGGTGTTTCGTTTTCTTTGGACTGTGTTTGTTTAAATATGTTATTGGTATGTGTTCCAAAATTATGGGAAACTTCTATAATGTTGAGATAATTTAGCATACATTATCAATAATTATAATTGTTATGTAAAATTGTTGTATGCCACAGAAGTAACCAAAATTCCTAGTCAATTGTAGCTTTAATAGTGGCTATAGACTTTTGTCATCCACAGATCTTTTGTCTTACTTTGGTCCTCTTCTTTACTTCTTTTTTTTTTTTTTTTTTTTTTTTTTGAGACAGAGTCTCACTCTGTCGCCCAGGCTGGAAGGCAGTGGTGCAATCTTGGCACGCTGCAACCTCCGCCTCCCGGGTTCAAGCAATTCTCTGCCTCAGCCTCCCAAGTAGCTGGGATTACAGATGCCCGCTACCAAGCCTGGCTAATTTTTTGTATATTTAGTAGAGACGGGGTTTCACCATCTTGGCCATGCTGGTCTTGAACTCCAGAAATCATGATCCACATTCCTCAGCCTCCCAAAGTGCTGGGATTACAGGCATGAGCCACCGCACCGAGCCTACTTTAGTCCTTTTCAAAACACAGTTTATAATCAGATATAGGACTCTCAGTGCAGGTCTCAGATAAGTTTAAAAATTGTGCTATTGGAATAGAGGAAGAAAACAAACTTCTAGGACTCTCAGGGAGAGCTAATGTGTTAAATATTGCTAAACCTTTTGTTTTCAGAGTCAAGAGAACTTATTTCTTTAGAGCTATTTGCAACTTTCAACAACTGAGTAAAATATACTCCTGTGAACAAAATTTGGAGCATATTTATTCCTCTCTACTTTATTTCTCCAGAATTTGGAAACTATTTGTGAGTATTCTCAATTTATGGCAGCATAGTTAATTGCATAAGTGCAATAAGAATCTGTTTTCTTTTGTAACAGGACACAATTGGAGAAATTGGTTATTTTATGAAGGCTTTGACTGGAATGGCATGCTTCTTTTAAGGAATCAAAGTTGACTTATAAAGCCAATTAAAGCCCATTAGGGCATCTGGCCTCATGCCCTGTCCACAATAGAGTCCCTGTGCAGGGTTCCTGACCTGTGATAAGTAAAGAATGTCACTTTCTAACTGGCCCAGGAACCCCAAGTTACCTTGGGACCCCAAGAGGAGAGGAATTTGCCCAACTCATAGGTATTTGAGGGTACAAACCCATGGCTGGGCTCGGCTATTAAAAAGTCTTATCTGAGATTCCTCATGGAACAGAGTTCTATTAAAGCCAATTTTTAAAAGCCTAAGTGGAAAATAATTATTTTTGCTTCACTTTATGTAAATAATCAGGCTGAGTACAGTAAGGCTAAAGTTTATTTTATAAACAAATCAGTTCCATCATAATAGGTTTTTAATAAAAATGGGGACTGGAGAGAGAAAAATTATGCTTCAGAAGAAAAACTATAGTACACTGTTAGCTGTTCTTGAGGTTTTTCCTGCAGTTTAGACTAAATTCTAAATTCTTTATGGGTTAGAAGTCCCCAAACTAACGTTTTCAAATCTTTGCTTTTAAAATTTAGAATTGTACTCTTCATCCTAGGACTTATTATTTACCTTACAGTAGGCTGTTCACTTAAACACTGTAGTAAAACTATAGATGAGAGTACTAATGTTTTTGCCACGCAAGCCTCAGAAGCTCAACCAGGCCTGCATGAGTATACTCAGACAATTGCAAAGTAGTTCCATTCTTCTCACCTTGGGGTTCACTCCCATTCCCACTACATTCCCTGTCAGCAGAAAGAAGCCAGAGTGATCAACGGCCTTTTCCCATCTTCATAGCCTACACCTTAAGATTAAGGTGTTATAAAACCAAAGGGAGGGATGGAAACCACCTTTGCAAAATTATGACTGAGACAGTGGAAGAGATCTAACTTCACTGACTCCATCTTACTTCTAACCTCCAGGCTGTCCTTGTTCGTTCCTGGGCATAGGCTGAACTAACTTTGGGAGAAACTTAGTTTATAGTTTAAGCAAAGACAGTAACAGCCCTTTCCCAAAGCAGACCTCATTCTTGCCTGGGACTAGATTGCCTTTGTAGGATTAACATTAGCCACAAGATTTGAAATTATGGTTAAGGAGTCATGCAGCTGGAGGCTACAAGATTCTGACCCTCCCTAAACTGCTCCTAAGATCAGTGCTTGAGATATTTTGCAGACCCTGCACTGGATGGATCAGCTGGCACCACCCAGATCAATAAACTGGCTCATCTGATCTTCTGGCTCCCACCCAGGAACTGACTCAGCACAAGAAGACAGCCACAACTCCCTATGATTTCATCCCTGGCCAATCAGCATTCCTGGTTCACTGGCATCCCCCCACCCACCAAGTTATCCTTAAAAACACTGTTCCCTGAATGCTTGGGAAGACTGATTTGAGTGATAATAAAACTCCGGTCTCCAGCACAGCTGGCTCTGCAGGAATTACTCTTTAGCTATTGCAATTCCCCTTTCTTGATGAATTGGCTCTGTCTAGGCAGTGGGCAAGGTGAACCTCTTGGGCAGTTACACAAGTATTCAGCTTTGGACAAATATGCTGAAAGAAAATTACCCAAATAAAAAGGAATATAGAAAGATGCGGCCGGGTGCAGTGGCTCATGCCTGTAATCCCAGCACTTTGGGAAGCTGAGGCAGGTAGATCATTTGAGGTCAGGAGTTCGAGACCAGCCTGGCCAACATGGTGAAATCCTGTCTCTACTAAAACTACAAAAATTAACCAGACATGCTTGCTTGAACCCAGGAGGCAGAGGTTGCCATGAGCCGAGATAGTGCCACTGCACTCCAGCCTGGGCAACAGAGCAAAACTCCGTCTCAAAAAAATAAAAAATAAAAATAAAAACAAAAAAACGCCTTGAGAAAGGCACAAGCCTGGCTGATTGATCAAGAGAATGAGGGCAGGAGAGTAGAACCCAAGAGGCATGGAGTCAGACAAGGGCCAGCCCTGGCAGGACTTTGTCAGCCTGGGTTTGAAGGCTGGTTTTGCCATATACCAAGTAGGTGATCTTAGGCAAGTTCCTCAATCTCTGCCTGAGCCTCAGTTTCCTAACCTGTAACATGGAGTAATAATAACGCCTATCTGGTTATTTCTAGCCTAGGCCTGTAACATTCTTGTACATGTCTTTTGGTGAGCATATGCCTACATATCTGTTGAGTGGTTACCTAGGAATTGCTGAATCATAAAGCACACACATACTTAGCTGAGTAGATGCTGCCAGTGTTCCAAAATGTTTGTACCCCTCCAGTGGATTTTATGTGTTTTGTTTTGTTTTGTTTTTGTTTCGCATATACAATCAAATCCACTTTGTTTACCATTACCTCAATAAACAGAATGTTGAGCAAAAGAAACCAGACACAAAAGAGGACATGTTCTGTGGTTCCATGTATACAAAGGTCAGAGGCAGGCAAGAGTAATCAATGGTTTAGAAGTCAAAATAGTGGTTAATCTTGGTGGAAAACTAGTGATGTAGAAGTACAAGTGGGGCTCCTGGGGGGTCGGGAGGCTGGAAACATTCCAGTTCTGAGGGCTAGTTACATGGGTGTATTCACTTTGTGAAAAGTCACCAGGGTGTATAGTTGTGATTTGTGTCATGTTTTGAAGATATGTTGAACTTCATACAAAGCTTACATTTTTTAAAATTCTATTAAAGGACTTTAAGGAGGAGAGTGCCAATAGTTTTAAAAGATGGTTCTGGCTGCTATGTGAAGAATGGGTTCTATGGAGACGGGGGAGAAGCCCAAAAGCCAATTAGGAGGCTAGTACAGTGGTCCAGAAGATAAACAAGGGTCATTTGGGCCAGGAGTAAAGGAGCGGAGTTGGAAGAAAGAGGAAGAATACCGTATGTATTTTGGAAATAGAACCAACAAGACTTGCTGGTGGGTAGGATGTGTGGGGTTAAGTATACAGGAATCAAGGATGCTACCCAGGTTCTGGCCTGAAAAACTAAGTGGATGATGGTGCCTATATTGAAATAAGTTGCCTGTTACCTATCTATCCTTGCTAGGTGAGCTCCTTATCTCCAAGACTGGATGTGGGGCCCAGCATGATGGAAGTACCTCTAAGATATTTGTTGAATGAGCCAGGCATGGTGGCTTATGCCTGTAATCCCAGCACTTTGGGAGGCCAAGGCCAGCGAATCACCTGAGTTCAGGAGTTCGAGGCCAGCCTGGCCAACAAGGTGAAACCCCGTCTCTACTAAAAATTTAAAAAAAATTAGCCAGGCAAGGTGATGCGCACCTGTAATCCCAGTTACTTGGGAGGCTGAGGCAGGATAATTACTTGAACTCGGGAGGTGGAGGTTGCAGTGAGCCGAGACCATGACATTGCACTCCAGCCTAGGTGACAGAGCAAGATTCTATCTCCAAAAAAAGAAAAGAAAAGAAAAGAAAAAGGATATTTGGATATTTGTTGAATGAATAGAATGACTATCCCCTCATGGAAGAACCAGAAGCTAAGTGTGGAGACAACAGAACAGCAGATGTATACAGGAGAGGAAGTGCTCTCCAAAGAGAGGTGAACTGCTCTTGTTGGGGGTGAGTCCCTGTGATTGGAGGAATTTAAGCAAAAGGCATGTGTCAGGACAGTGAGAGGGATCATGGGGCCAAGTGACATTTTCTCTAAGGTGCGGGCTTACAAGTATGTGTCAACACTGCCTAACTCCATCGATTTGGAAAGGAGGGAAGAGGTTCTCCAGGCCAGCTCTTCCTCCTCCACTTTCCAGTATTCTCCAACACAGACATCACATGAGCTTGAGCAAAACAGGATGGCAGCCGCACACTCACACCCTCCAAATGCACACCCCCTATCCCAAACCAGATGCTCTGAGCATACATCACAATCAGAGCAAACATCCCAGTCCAGGGACCAAACAACCGCCTTTTGTTTCTAATCCAGAGGCTAAGGGCCAGAGGCCAGTGCTGGGGAATAAATATGCCTTCAGTTTAAAAATGTAAACGTGTTTTCTCACTGAAACCAAATGGGTGGGTCAAATTCTGAGGCTCCTTGATGTGATTTCCATAGTTCAGTTGGGTTTCTGTTGACTACTGTCCTCCACTGAATTCCTCTGGCCACTCCCTCCAGTCTGACTAGTTTCCTTCTTTGAAATCCTGCAGCCCTGACACTTGGAAGCAGCCAGTGGTCTCCTATTCACAGTTGGGTGGTGCCTTGGTATGTCTTCTCACCCAGTGTGTCTGCTGTTTGGAGACAGGCAGCTGGGTGTTGCACAGAAAGATTTAGAGCCTGAGATTTGGATTTGAGCCCCAGTTTCACATTTTATCTGGCTGATGACCTTTGCTGAGCTGTTGCTCAGACACATTTATTTCATTGATACAAGGTCATTTCCTCTCCTCTTTCCCAGATGATCAGTGGCATCTATTGGCCCAGAACAGTTCTAGGAGCCTGAATCTCCTGTGGATAAAGGAACACACTCAGGCCTGAGTTGGGTATTTAGTTGCAGAATAAGAAGGATGTGGAAGAAATACATTAGAAAGATTTATTTTTATAGGGCTCTGCTCAAAACCTTTCTAACTGGGCCAGCTGGACATCTGGACAACTCATCTCATGCCTGAGTCCACAGTAAGGCCATTTCCGGAAGAACATCAAGTTCTTTGTTGGAAATCAAACCCAAGAGCAAGAGCCCCAGAATGGGCAGGGTTGAGGGGTAGGCAGTGAACCACAAGTCCAGGAAGATTTGTTGCTGGCTAATCCCTACCCAACACCCAGCCTCTCCAATACCGCCCTCCTTCTTCATCCCTCAACTGGAAATGCCTCTCTTTAAGCCATGGGGGCCTTTTTTTTCTTTTTCTTTTTCTTTTTCTTTTCTTTTTTTTTTTTTTTTTGAGACAGAGTCTCACTCTGTCACCCAAGTTAGAGTGCAGTGGTGCAATCTTGGCTCACTGCAACCTCCACCTCCCAGGTTCAAGCAATTCTCCTGCCTCAGCCTCCCAAGTAGCTGGGATTACAGGCACCTGCCACCATGCCTGGCTAATTTTTGTATTTTTAGTAGAGATTTCACCATGTTGGCCAGTCTGATCTAGAATTCCTGTCCTAAGGTGATCCACCCCCCTCAGCCTCCCAAAGTGCTGGGATTACAGGCATGAGCCACCGTGGCTGGCCCTGCATGGGGGCCTTTTCAATGCAAAGATACCTGACCTGTTTAGGAGGTGAATGCCCTCTTTCTCCCACCCACTGTTCCCCTTTTCAAGCCAGCAGCCCAGGAGAACTTGTCAGACACTTATTTTCCCATTTTATCCAAGAAAAAGTCAACCATGTCAATGAACTGAGCAGCAGCTTAAAATTTCTGACTCCTTGCTCCAAACCTACTGCTCTATAGCTCTGGCCTCAAAGCCTTTTAGAACTCAACTCCTGAGTCCTAGCAGATGTCAAGAATGATGGAGTCGCCAAGTGAAAGAGTTGGTTGACCCAGCCTCTGCCACTTTTCAGATATACCACTGAGTCCAGTGGGGTCCCAGCTTGGCTGTATGGGACAACCCCCCCACCAAAGGGGGAAATTTAGACTTCATCTGCTGTCCATATCAGGGGAACCAGCCCCCAATAGGACAGAAAAGAACGTAGGTTCTTTTCTATTTTCCCTAAGTGTCAGCCAGTCTGAGAAATAAAGGGAAAGAGTACAAAAGACAGAAATTTTAAAGCTTGGTGTCCGGGGGAGATATCACATGTCAGCAGGTTCCATGATGCCCCCTGAGCTGCAAAACCAGCAAGTTTTTATTATGGATTTTAAAAGCGGAGGGGTGTACAAATAGGGTATGGGTCATAGAGATCACATGCTTCAAGGGCAATAAAATATCACAAGGCAAATGGGGGCAGAGTGAGATCACAGGACCAGAGTGAAATTAGAATTGCTGATGAAGTTTCATGTCCCACTGGGCACGCACTGTTATTGATAACATCTTATCAGGAGACAGGGTTTGAGAGCAGACAACCAGTCTAAAATTTACTAGGCAGGAATTTCCTCATCCTAATAAGCCTGGGGGCGCTACAAGAGACGGGGGCTTATTTCATCCCTTATCCACACCTGTATAAGACAGACACTTCTATAGCGGCCATTCTAAAGACTGCCCCCTAGGAATGCATTCTCTTTCTCAGGGCTGTTCTTTGCTGAGAAAAAGAATTCAGCAATATTTCTCCTGTTTGCTTTTGTAAGAAGAGAAATATGACTCTGTTCTGTCCAGCCCCTCAGGCAGTCAGGCCCAATGGTTATCTCCCTTGTTCCCTGAAAATCGCAGCCATCTTTTTCCTTTTGGAAGTCCAGATTTCATATTGTTCAAACACACATGCTCTACAAACAATTTGTGCAGATAACACAATCATCACAGGATCCTGAGGTGACATACATCCCCATTTTACGAAGATGATGGGATTAAGAGATTAAAGTAAAGACAGGCATAGGAAATTATAAGAGTATTGATTGGGGAAGTGATAAATGTCAATGAAATCTTTACAATTTATGTTCAGAGACTGCAGTAAAGACAGGAATAAGAAATTATAAAAGTATTAATTTGGGGAACTAATAAATGTCCATGAAATCTTCACAATTTATGTTCTTCTGCCATGGCTTCAGCCAGTCCCTCTGTTCAGGGTCCCTGACTTCCCGCAACAGTACAAATCCCTGGGCCACATGCTTGGCCATCAAACAATAGCCTCTCTACCTAACCCCTACTGTGTTCATTCATTCATTCATTCATTAAAAACATTTATTGAGCAACTACCAAGCCATGTGGGGTGGGGAATAACTTGGAACTCTAGAGTGTACATAAAGATTATTTTAAACCAAAGACACCTGAAATTCAACAGATGTAGAAAGAAGCCTCTCGTAGCTTCCTTTATGTGATTAAAAGCAGAAACTTCTGAGAAATGAAGACTGATGTAAAGTCCGTCTGGTGGCAGGTCTGCTCCCAGGAAAGAAATTAAGAGTAAATCCAGTCCGGGCATGGTGGCTCACGCCTGTAATCCTAGCACTTTGGGAGGTGAAGGCAGGCAGATTGCTTGAGCTCAGGAGTTTGAGACCAACATGGGCAACATGGTGAAACCCAGTCTCTACAAAAAGTATAAAAATTAGCTGGGTGCATGTTTGTAGTCCCAGCTACTTGGGAAGCTGATGAAGGAGGATCACTTGAATCCAGGAGATGGATGCTGCAGCAAGCCAAGATCACACCACTGCACTCCAGCCTGGGTGACAAAGTGAGACCCTGTTTCAAACAAAAAAAATTTTTTTAAAGAGTAAATGTACCATAAATCCCTTCTCTGGGAGAGTTTTATGATCTTGAAGAAGATAGAAGGCCCACTCATACATATATAGACAGACATTATCACACACTTTCTTATCTCCTATTTGTTCTCCTAAAAACTCCTTGTCTTTCCTAAAGAAACCTATTTGTTCCTCCTATAGGAGACTTTTCTCCCTCCTTTCTTACCTCTACTAAATGAGGTGTATAAGCCCCTGCTTCTGACCACCCCTTTGAGTTACTCATTACTGAGAATTTTCTGATGTATGTACATTGCAGGCATGAATAAACTCTTCTCTTGCTAATCTGTCTTTTGTTAGTTTAATGTGCATGTCCCCAGGTATTGAACATAAGAGGGTAGAGGAAAAGTTTTTTCTTCCCAACAGCATTTGTACTGAATCTTGTTTTACCCTCCAGTTCTCAACAGGGCCTGGACCCCCTAAGACCCTCATCTAGAACTGCCAACTTCTTTATCCTCAAACAACAAACCCTTCTCACAGGGTTGTTCAGGGTGTCCCAGTTCTTAGCCTTGTTCCCCTCCTGTCCTCACTCTCCAAGTGTACCCTAACCTTAGAAGAGGAACTGTCTGAGGCATGGGTCGTGAGCCAGGTTCATTTCCCAGTACACCCTCAAGTCTAAGTCTAGAATCTAGAATCTAGATTAATGCCTGGGGGGCTCCTGCCAGGGAGTGTGGTGGCCTTTGGCCACATGAGCTTTGGTGCATGAAGTCCAGACCCCTTCAAAATCTCACAAGCAAAGTGAGTTGCAGATCATTTTTCTGATAATCCAGCTTATATTTGCTGAATCAGACACCCACCTATTTCCAAAGGGCAAACTTTCCTTCTCAGAAATAGTACTGCTTAACCCTAAAAAGGAAAGGAAACCATTCGTAAGAGCCCTATAGTTTGTAAGGCAACCTCTCCAATCCTCAGCTAATACTTCACTCACCCTAGGGCTTGCCAGGAACAAGAAAGAGTCCCAGGTTGAGCCAAGACTTCTTAAAGGCTGCTGTCAGCTACACACACAAAGAAACGGCAGAGGCTTTGAAATTACCACTTATAAATGCACAATTGCATTCATGGGCTAGCGGGTGGGGGCTGGCTCTTCTTCTATGCCACTATCTGGAGGTGGAAAATAGGGGGAAGTTCATTCTTCCCTTGATCTTAGCATTTGGGCAGGTAAAGTTGAGGTGCTTACGCCATCTAGGCAGTTGAAAATAAAGCTCCAAGGAGTAGCCAGGAGTGGTGGCTCACACCTATAATCCCAGTACTTTGGGAGGCCTAGGCAGGCGGATCATGAAGTCAGGAGATCGAGACCATCCGGGCCAACATGGTGAAACCCAGTCTCTACTAAAAATACAAAAATTAGCTGGGCATGGTGGCGTGTGCCTGTAATCCCAGCTACTCAGGAGGCTGAGACAGGAGAATCCCTTGAACCAGGGAGTCAGAGATTGCAGTGAATTGATCCCTACAGATAGATGTGAAAACCATCAGCTGTAAAATGGCAGCCCATGCTATGGAAATGGGGGTGTTCCTATGGGGGCAGACACAAGGAGAAGGCAGAACCTGTTTTCCCCACTCAGCTCTGCGAGGATGTTCTCCCCTGTAAACCAAAAAGTATCTGAGATGGGTCTCAATTAATTTACAAGTTTATTTTTCCAAGATTAAGAACATGTCCTTAAATTGATTGAGACCTGTCTCAGATATTTTTCGGTTTACAAGTTGGCAACCAACAGAAGGGACTCTGAGTGGCAGTGGCCCGGATGTTTGACAAATCTCCTTTCAGTGCTTGGCACCAGCTTGGGCTATCTTGATTGCTCAAACCAATAGAACAATTCTCTAAGGCCTGGGACCTTCCCCCCTCCATAGAACCTCTGATCCAAATGTTGATTGAGATCTAAGATTTATTTTGGGCTGGGCGCGGTGGCTCACACCTGTAATCCCAACACTTTGGGAGGCCAAGGCGGGCCAAGAGGAGGTCAGGGGTTCAAGACCAGCCTGACCAACATGGTGAAACCCCGTCTCTACTAAAAATACAAAAACTAGCTTGGCGTAGTGGTGCACACTTGTAATCCCAGCTACTTGGGAGGCTGAGGCAGGAAAATCGCTTGAACCTGGGAACTGGAGGTTGCAGTGAGCTGAGATCACGCCACTGCACACCAGCCTGGACGACAGAGCAAGACTGTTGAAACAAATAGGTTATTTAAGAAAGACAAGGAGTTTTCAGGAGAACAAATAGGAGATAGGAAAATGTGTGATAACGTTTGTCTATATATGTATGAGTGGGCCTTCTGTCTTCTTCAAGACCATAAAACTCTCCCAGAGAAGGGATTTATGGCACATTTGCTGTATGTAAGATTCATTCTGCTGTATGCCTCTTCTGGAGTTTTACTTGCTTCCCAACAAGGAAGGTGAGTTTTCCTGCTTCCATGATAATGGAAGGCAGGCAACTCCTTTCTGGGAGTCTCAGCTCATTTCCAACAGGGAAGGCAAGTTTGAGTCTTCTCCTGCTTCTAGGATGGTAGCAGTTTTCAGCCTGGGCCCCATTCTTAGGTAAGTAGCTGAATTGGGGTTTTCTCTAGGAAATTCTTTTTTTTTTTCGAGATGGAGTCTCGCTGCTCTGTCGCCCAGGCTGGAGTGCAGTGGCGCAATCTCAGCTCACTGCAAGCTCCACTTCCCGGGTTCATGCCATTCTCCTGCCTCAGCCTCCCGAGTGGCTGGGACTACAGGCGCCTGACACTACGCCTGGCTAATTTTTTTGTATTTTTAATAGAGACGGGGTTTCACCGTGTTAGCCAGGATGGTCTCGATCTCCTGACCTCCTGATCCGCCCGTCTTGGCCTCCCAAAGTGCTGGCATTACAGGCGTGAGCCACCGGGCCCGGCCAGGAAATTCTTTTTAATGACTAAAAGTTAAGATTAACAGCCAGCTGGTCTTAATTTCTCCTTACCATTAGAGTGCTGAGTAATCATATGAACTGTGCAATTGTTTGTTTCTCTTAGCTTATTTTTGTTCATTTGTTTCTTTCTGTTTTTGTTTTTTTGTTTGTTTGTTTGTTTCTGCATGGCTCTTGTATCAGTTCGAACCTCGAGAGTCGCCAACAAACAACACAAGGCGGTGTAGAGCAACACAGTTTTAAGGCGCACCGCGTGGGGGCAGACAGGCTGAGGCCTAAAATGGCTCAGCACCTAAGGAGGATGGGGCAGAGATTTTATAGTCTCCTGTAAACAGGAAGTGTCTCAGTCTGATGTAACTGCTACGCCGTACCCGGACAGCCTTTCTCTCGGTCTTCAGGGGGTACCTGCCTTCCAGCCAGCTAGCTTGCTTCCTGCTTCTGTTATCTTGCTGACGCATGCCGCTGGCGCAAGTGGTCTTTACTTTGGGACTGGGCCTGAGAAGGGCAGAGTTATTCACCACCCTCCACCACCCCCAGCTTCCAGGCCCAGGGTAAAGTCAGTTTCCATCTTTTTCCCATTGGGTTTGACCAACTCTACCTGACTTGGTCAAATCCAAAGGAAAGTTCCAAATCATGGGAAACAAGGTCTCTGAATTTGCGAAATCCCTGCAGCTGAAAAAAAAAGAAACAGAAAAAAAGAAAGAGAGAGGGAGAGAGAGAAAGAAAGAATGAGAGAATGAAAGAACGAGAGAGAGAGAGAGAGAGAGAAGGGAAAGGGAAGGGGAAGATTTTGACTATCTGAGGAGTTTTATTTACATGACAAGGCCACCTTTTGCTAGCCAAGCCCAAACTGACAGAGCAATGGCAGCTGTCCGTGCTGTAGTTCTGTAGCTATGATTCTGCCTCTTGTTTTTTACATGGTGACAGCCTGGGTTTGGTTCCTAAGTCAAGTCCTTTCTAATTTGATATTTGTGTTACTTTCAAACTATCAGCAGTTTTTCCCAGCAAAAATATGATAATAGGAGATTTAAAAGGATTTTTTAAGAGCTCAATGGTTAAGTCAGCTTAACTAAAAGCTAATATCTAAGATATATATACACACACACATATAAGCATATATATATACACACACACTTTTTTCTCTCCTAGGTTCTTGATTTTTGAGAAAAAGGTTTTTTTCTTCTCAATCCACTGAATTCTGTTTTGTCCATTTACTTCTGCCTGTCTCTCCTTCCTCTTACCACCCTCTGCTGCATGAAGGACATAAATAGTTCCTAACAGCCTAGGATTCCTTTAAGAAAACAGAGAAGGCGCCAGGTTTCTTTTTGGGAGAAACCTCTGTTTTTCCTTATGGAACCCCAAGAGTGTAAACAGACAAGTTCCTCTCAGATCTGTAAACCAAAAGTATCTGAGACAGGTCTCAATCAGTTTAGAAGTTTATTTTGCCAAGGTTAAGGTCGAGCCTGTGACACAGCCTTAGGAGGTCTTGAACAACATGTGCCCAAGGTCATAGGGCTACAGCTTGGTTTTACACATTTCAGGAAGGCATAAGATATTAATCAATACATATAAGATGTACATTGGTTCAGTCCAGATTCAGAGAGAGTAGATCGTAAATGTTTCTTATCAGACTTAGAAAGTGTTATTATCAGACTGTTCTATCGGTCTTAAGGTCTGTGTTGATGTTAGTGCTGGTCAGCGGTGCCTGAATTGCAATGGTCAGAGGGTATAATAGGGCATGTCTGACTCCTGCTTCCCATCATGGGCTGAACTAGTTTTTCACTTTCATTTTGGAATGCCCTTGGCCAAGAGGAATGATCATTCAGTTGGGTGAGGAGCTTGGAACTTTATTTTTGGTTTACAGATCTTCAACTGCTTGTTCTTATGTTACCTGATCTTTTTTTTTTTTTTTTTTTACCAAAATCGTGATTACCCTGTACAGGGGTTACTCTTGCATATTTTAAGATAATAAGTGGTGTGGTTTTTTTTTTTTTTTTTTAATTTATTTTTTTATTGATAATTCTTGGGTGTTTCTCACAGAGGGGGATTTGGCAGGGTCATGGGACAATAGTGGAGGGAAGGTCAGCAGATAAACAAGTGAACAAAGGTCTCTGGTTTTCCTAGGCAGAGGACCCTGCGGCCTTCCGCAGTGTTTGTGTCCCTGATTACTTGAGATTAGGGATTGGTGATGACTCTTAACGAGCATGCTGCCTTCAAGCATCTGTTTAACAAAGCACATCTTGCACCGCCCTTAATCCATTTAACCCTGAGTGGACACAGCACATGTTTCAGAGAGCACAGGGTTGGGGGTAAGGTCACAGATCAACAGGATCCCAAGGCAGAGGAATTTTTCTTAGTGCAGAACAAAATGAAAAGTCTCCCATGTCTACTTCTTTCTACACAGACACGGCAACCATCCGATTTCTCAATCTTTTCCCCACCTTTCCCGCCTTTCTATTCCACAAAGCCGCCATTGTCATCCTGGCCCGTTCTCAATGAGCTGTTGGGCACACCTCCCAGACGGGGTGGTGGCCGGGCAGAGGGGCTCCTCACTTCCCAGTAGGGGCGGCCGGGCAGAGGCGCCCCTCACCTCCCGGACGGGGCGGCTGGCCGGGCAGGGGGGCTGACCCCCCCCCACCTCCCTCCCGGACGGGGCAGCTGGCCGGGCGGGGGGCTGACCCCCCCACCTCCCTCCCGGACGGGGCGGCTGGCCGGGCAGAGGGGCTCCTCACTTCTCAGTAGGGGCGGCCGGGCAGAGGCGCCCCTCACCTCCCGGACGGGGCGGCTGGCCGGGCGGGGGGGCTGACCCCCCCCACCTCCCTCCCGGATGGGGCGGCTGGCCGGGCAGGGGGCTGACACCCCCACCTCCCTCCCGGACGGGGCGGCTGGCCGGGCAGAGGGGCTCCTCACTTCCCAGTAGGGGCGGCCGGGCAGAGGCGCCCCTCACCTCCCGGACGGGGCGGCTGGCCGGGCGGGGGGGCTGACCCCCCCCCACCTCCCTCCCGGACGGGGCGGCTGGCCGGGCGGGGGGCTGACCCCCCCACCTCCCTCCCGGACGGCACGGCTGGCCAGGCGGGGAGCTGACCCCCCCCACCTCCCTCCCGGATGGCACGGCTGGCCGGGCGGGGGGGCTGACCCCCCACACTCCCTCCCGGATGGGGCGGCTGCCGGGCGGAGACGCTCCTCACTTCCCAGATGGGGTGGCTGCCGGGCGGAGAGGCTCCTCACTTCTCAGACGGGGCAGCTGCCGGGCGGAGGGGCTCCTCACTTCTCAGACGGGGCAGCTGCCGGGCAGAGGCGCTCCTCACATCCCAGATGGGGCGGCGGGCAGAGGCGCTCCCCACATCTCAGACGATGGGCGGCCAGGCAGAGACGCTCCTCACTTCCTAGATGTGATGGCGGCTGGGAAGAGGCGCTCCTCACTTCCTAGATGGGATGGCGGCCGGGTGGAGACGCTCCTCACTTTCCAGACTGGGCAGCCAGGCAGAGGGGCTCCTCACATCCCAGACGATGGGCGGCCAGGCAGAGACACTCCTCACTTCCCAGACGGGGTGGCGGCCGGGCAGAGGCTGCAATCTCGGCACTTTGGGAGGCCAAGGCAGGCGGCTGGGAGGTGTAGGTTGTAGTGAGCCGAGATCACGCCACTGCACTCCAGCCTGGGCACCATTGAGCACTGAGTGAACGAGACTCCGTCTGCAATCCCGGCACCTCGGGAGGCCGAGGTTGGCGGATCACTCGCGGTTAGGGGCTGGAGACCGGCCCGGCCAACACAGCGAAACCCGGTCTCCACCAAAACCAGTCAGGCGTGGCGGCGCGTGCCTGCAATCGCAGGCACTCGGCAGGCTGAGGCAGGAGAATCAGGCAGGGAGGTTGCAGTGAGCCGAGATGGCAGCAGTACAGTCCAGCTTCGGCTCCGCATGAGAGGGAGACCGTGGGGAGAGGGAGAGGGAGACGGAGCGGGAGAGGGAGAGCGAGAGGGAGAGGGAGAGCTGCATTCCTTTTCTTAAAGTTCTTAAGTGATATACTCAAGATGGAGTACTCTGTAATGATCTGGCCCCAACTGACATTTTCCAGCTCACCTTCTGACCCTTCTGGACATGCCCTGACCAAGTTACCTCAATGTTGTGTTCCTGATACAATATCATGTCATTATCTTCCATACTTTTGTCTCTTTGCATATGTAATTCCTTTTGCATAGAATGTGTTTCCCTTGTCAGCCTGGCTGGCTTAAGACAATTGAGATCTAGGAAATTTGCCATAACTTCCTTCGGCAGGTTTGAGGTAGTTTTCTCTTATTTTCCCATACTGGCCAATCTATAGAAATTATGATAATAATGTATTACATGTATACTATACGCTAGTCCCTCTGAGGCTAATTATTAGTCTATGTAGATTGGCATCTCAGTAAAGAAATTGAGCTGAAGAGAGGTTAAGTGACTTCCTGAAGTCTTCATGGTTAATCCCTTTCCAGTGTCAGGTATCAAACCTAGGTCTCATGGCCCAATGGTGCGATCTCGGCTCACCTCAACCTCCGCCTCCCTGGTTCAAGCAATTCTCCTCAGTGGTGTGGTTTAAACACTTAGAGAAATATCTTTGTAACAGTGCACCGTTAAGCACATTACATGGCCTAGTCCCATGATGTCACTCTGTTTGGAGAACTAGGATTCAGTGTGGGCTCCACCCAGAGCTCAGAGGTCCAGTTAAAAGATAGAGAGTAAATTTAAAACTACCTATCTAAACAAAATTTGTCTCCTTATCAAATCCTATGGTATTTTTCTATCATTTTATGTTTGGCTTGGTATCCGTTTTTAATCTCCTGCTAACACACCTAGACTTCGTCTGTACTTTGAGATGTAAATTTCACTCTCTGATTTTCACTTAGAGTTGTTCCTTTGGTATGCAAATTTAGAGCTATCTAGCTGACAATTGCCTAGGGAAATGACACGGATTATCAAGAAATTAGAACTCTAAAATAGGAGACTGAAAAGGGGAGTCTTATGAATCTATGAGCTTCTATCTGCATGTCTAATAAGTCCATGTATTTATGTGTCATGTATATGATGTTTCACTACCAAAAATATATAAAAGAGCTCTAATTAATTGACTTTTTTAAAAAAGCTCTTAAATACTTTATCAGGGCCAGGCATGGTGGCTCACACCTGTAATCCCAGTACTTTGGGAGGCCAAGGTGGGTGGATCACCTGAGGTCAGGAGCTCAAGACCAGCCTGACCAATACGGAGAAACCCCATCTCTACTAAAAATGCAAAAAATTGGCCGGGTGTGGTGGCGTATGCCTGTAATCCCAGCTACTCGGGAGGCTGAGGTAGGAGAATTGCTTGAACCTGGGAGGCGGAGGTTGCAGTGAGTCAAGATCGTGCCATTGCACTCCAGCCTGGGCAACAAGAGCAAAACTCTGTCTCAAAAAAAAAAAGAAAAAAAAAAAACTTTATCAGAAAAATAGGAACTTTAAGCCCAAATGCTTTCTCAAGTTCATGTGACTTAAGTAAATCCTTAATAAGCTGGTTTTAATTGATAAAATTAGAAATGTCTTCAGAATTCTTAACATACATTATTGTTTAGATTCGTTGGTCAAGTGGTTTCATATTTATCTCTCCTAAATATTATAAGGTGTCAGTCAGACATGGTGGCTCATGCCTGTAATCCCAGCACTTTGGGAGGCTGAGGTGGGCAGATCACCTGAGGTCAGGAGTTTGAGACCAGCCTGACCAACATGACCAAACGCCATCTCTACTAAAAATACAAAAATTAGTTGGGAGTGGTGACACGTGCCTGTAATCCCAGCTACTTGGGAGGCTGAGGCAGGAGAATCGCTTGAACCTGGGAGGCGGAGGTTGCAGTGAGCTGAGATCACACCATTGCACTCTAGCCTGGGCAACGAGAGTGAAACTCTGTCTCAAAAAAAAAAAAAAAAAAATATATATATATATATATTTGGCATGAGGGTTACTATCTTTGTGTAAATTTGTATAACTAAGGCATTTAATTAAATTGTTGGTTTGATGGAAACAGCTAAATCCTGAGTTATTGGCCAAAAAAAAAAAAACAAAAAACATTTATTTAAATTTAATGTTCTTACTTAGGTAAACACTTGAACTTCACAGGCTATAAAAATGGTTAACAAGGAAATAATACTAAATGATAACTATCACAGTCTTCCTCTCTTTCCTTTCTTTTCTTTTTTTTTTTTTTTTTTTTTTTTGAAACAGGGTCTCCCTCTGTTGCCCAGGTTGGGGTGCAGTGGCATGATCACAACTCACTGCAGCCTCGACCTCCCAAGTTCAAGCAATCCTCCCACCTCAGCCTCCCAAGTAGCTGGGACCACAGGCTCACACCACCATATTGGCTAATTTTTTTTTTTTTTTTTTGTAGAGGCTGGGTCTCACCATGCTGCCCAGACTGGTCTTAAACTTCTAAGCTCAAGCAATCCTCCTACCTCAGCCTCCCAAAGTGCTGAGATCCTCCTACCTCAGCCTCCCAAAGTGCTGAGATCCTCCTACCTCTGCCTCCCAAAGTGCTGAGATCCTCCTACCTCTGCCTCCCAAAGTGCTCGGGCTCCCACAGTGAGTCACTGTGCTCAGTCCCTATACTTTAAATCATCACTAGATTGCTTATAATACCTAATACAATGTAAGTGCTATATAAATACTTGTTACACTGTATTTTTAAATTTGTATTATTTTTTATTGTTGTATTTTTTTCCACAAATATTTTCAATCCACAGCTGGTTGAATACAAGGATGTAGAACTTGTGGATACAAAGGGCCGACTGTAGTTGTAACTTGCACCAGCCCAGGTATATAAAAGGAGTTAAAATTTGTTTTGTTCCCATATCCTTTCTTGTTCCCCAAGACCATTAGTTCCTCAAGAGAAATTACAGTCTCTTCCTTCTTTGTGATTACAGTGCCTGGCTTACAGTAGGTGCTCAATAAATGTTACAGACGCATCATGTTCTCAAGCTCTTGCTGAACCTAGACCCAGCCTCCCTTTCAAAGAAGACTGTTCTGCCAGGTACTTCACTCAGTGTCCTACTTCTTTGCTCAAGTCCCTGGGCCCTTGGACCTCCTGAATTTCCACCACTACTGCAGGGATCAGATCTTTCAATTCTCTAGTTTTCTTCCACTGATGAAACTTTTGGTTCCAGTCTTTAAGTCTGCTAGCAAAAGACAAAACAAACGTACAAACAAAAAACCAGCAATAGACAGGTTAACAGGAAAAAAAGCATACAAATTTATTTGCATGGGAATGGGAAGCAGGGTGTAGGGGCAAAGGGAAAACTTACCCTTCACCCTCTGAAGATTCAGTGAAAAATCACCTGACAAATGGTGGATGAATAGGAGAAAAGGCACCCAAATTTATTTGATCTTAGTTTTATGTGACATGAGAACCTTCAGAAAGAAGGCCTAAGGATATAGGAAAACTGTCCATTTTTATGCTTAGGTTCCGCATGGTATGGACAGTCATTCAGAAACGTGATTGGTCAAAAGGGTACGATGTAGCGCTAATAGACTGAGCAGGGAAACCCAGCAAGCCCTCTCTGTGTAAATTCTTCTTAGCGCCTCTGTGCAGCATTCCTTCCTTCTGGGTATGGGGCAAGACCCCCTCTGGAATAGAGGTCTTATGATCTACAAGATAGGTCAGATAAGATAGATCAATTTCTGCTGGGCATGGTGGCTCACACCTCTAATCCCATCACTTTGGGAGGATGAGGCAGGCGGATCACCTGAGGTCAGGAGTTTGAGACCAGCCTAACCAACATGGAGAAACCTTGTCTCTACTAAAAATACAAAAAATTAGCCAGGCATGATGGTGCATGCCTGTAATCCCAGCTACTCGGCAGGCTGAGGCAAGAGAATCACTTGAACCATCTGAAAAAAAAAAAAAAAAAAGGCCGGGCGCAGTGGCTCACGCCTGTAATCCCAGCACTTTGGGAGGCCGAGGCGGGCAGATCACAAGGTCAGGAGTTCGAGACCAGCCTGGCCAATATGATGAAACCCCATCTCTACTAAAAATACAAAAAATTAACCAGGCATGGTGGTGGGCGTCTATAGTCCCAGCTACTCAGGAGGCTGAGGCAGGAGAATCACTTGAACCCAAGAAACAGAGGTTGCAGTGAGCCGAGATCACACCGTTGCACTCTAGCCTAGGCAACAGAGAGAGACTCCATCTCAAAAAAAAAAAAAAAAAAAAAAAAGGTCAATTTCTTTACAGCCAGTTCTTACACAGACAGAAAGGCTGGGGTGGTGGAGGAGTTAGTAATATTTTGGGTTTTATGGCTGGCATTGGGGAAAAGGGGTCCGGTTTTCATGACCTCCCTTGGGAAGAGGGATTCTAGTTTCTATGGCTAGCCTCTAGAGAAAATGAGAGTCTAGAAACAGGAGATTAGAAGGTCAGAGAGAGCTGCCTCTGAGGCCTTCTTCTTGGGCTATTGTTTTATGACCCCCAACAGAGGCATCACAGAAAAGCGAATACCCAGTAACCCAATGACATTCTCTAATCATTACTGTTTAAGGAATGGGACATGTTTGAGAAATGCACCATTAGGCAATTTCATCATTGTGAGAACATCATAGAGTGCCCTTACACAAACCTCGATGGCATAGCCTACCACACACCTAGGCTATAGGTATAGCCTATTACTCCTAGGCTATAAACTTTACTGTATGTTACTGCACTGACTACTGTAGGCAACTGTAACACAATGGTGAATATTTGCATATCTAAACATGTCTAACTGTAGAAAATATGTTACACTATGACATTACCAAGGCTAGGTGTCACTAGGCGATAGAAATTTTTCAGCTCAGCCAGGCCTATGGCCTCACACCTGTAATCCCAGCACTCTGGGAGGCCAAGATGAGAGGATCACTTGAGGCCAGGAGTTTAATACCAGCTTGGGCAACATAGTGAGACCCCTGTCTCTACAAAAAAATTTAAAAAATTAGCCCAGTATGATGGCATGCACCTATAGTCCCAGTTACTCAGAGGCTGAGGCAGAAGGATTGGTTAAGCCTAGGAGGTCCAGGCTGCAGTGGGCCATGAATCAGGCCACTGCACTGCAACCTGGGCAAGAGTGAGACCCTGTCTCAAAAAAAGAAAAAAAAAAATTGGCTCCATTTTATTCTCATGGGGCCACCATTTTACGTGTGGTCTGTCATTGACTGAAACATCCCTACCCATCACATGACTGTATATCCTTCTTCATGGGGGTGAGGGAAGTGGGATATATAGGCCAACATACAAATGGTTATGAAAGAAAAAAAGAAGATGAGACTTCAGAAGAATAGGTAATAGACTGTCTGGATGAAATGTCAACTTTAATCTCTCCTAGGTTTGAGTCCTCATGTTAATCTTCCTGATAGATACAAATTTCTAGGGAGGGTTTTCATGACAATTGGCTTCCTTCTGGAGAATCTACCTTTACTCAGATAAGGGAAATTCAGGAAAAGCCCCTCTGTGTATCCATTGTTTTCCCAGAAGCCTTCAGTTTGAAGCAATCAGCATACCAATGTGGCATTTTGGGGGGTGATATCTCCTGGGTTCATTCAAAATATTAGCAACATGCTTGGCAGCTTAACTCCCTCATTGCAATACTCAAGAAGGTACTGCGGATCTTATTCCTTACCTGGAACAAAATCTTCTTAGTCAATGAGCAATTTCATAGGGTGGTGCAAAATATTACTTTTTATTTTTCCCATAAGGGTAGGCTTGCATAGAGATCCAGGCATCCCTTTTTCTCTCTGGTATTCCTCCCTTTCCCTTTTTTGTCCTCTCTGCCCTCCCTGCAAGCCTGGTGCCACCCTGACAGCTGCCACGTGTGGTCCTGGAACCTTGTTCCTGGTTCCATCCTAGAGGAGTGGGCAGAGATGGGGACTCACCTACTCTAGGGGGCTTGGGTCTTTCAGATTCACCAAGGTGAGAATCTGCAGGCAGACAAACCTTTTTTCTTTTTCCTTTTTTTTTTTTTTTTTTTTTTTTTGAGATGGAGTCTCTCTCTGTTGCCAGGCTGGCACGATCCCGGCTCACTGCAACCTCTGACTCCCTGGTTCAAGTGATTCTCCTGCCTCAGCCTCCCGAGTAGCTAGGATTACAGGTATATGCCACCACGTCCAGCTAATTTTTTTTATTTTTTAGTAGAGCCGGGGTTTCACCATGTTGGCCAGGATGGTCTCGATCTCCTGACCTCGTGATCCGCCCGCCTCAGCCCCCGAAAGTACTGGGATTACAGGCGTGAGCCACAGCGCCAGGCCAAACCTTTTTTCATGACCTCTCCTAACCTGACTTTGCCTCATTATCATGCTAAAAATTTCTTTTCTACTAGGGTGGGAGGGGAAAGAACAAAAGTAGGGTGTCCTACACCAGACAGATCCCTCTAATTATTTACAAGCCTCAGTTGATTCATACTTGCAAAATGGCTCTGGAAAATTTCAAATGGTTTATTAAATTTTCCATCCTCATACTGAGCATGTCCTACCTGGCAAGCCTGTGTTGGATGCCAACGGAACATGAAGGTGACCAGGAGAAGCTCTAAGTCCCATGGGGAAACAAGCTCATCCAGGACTAACAAAGCACAAGTGCCCAGTGCCCATCTCAACAAAACCACAGTGGCTCTCAGAGACAGGTCAGACTGCTTGAATCACACACAGCACACTCTGAATGTCTCTCCGTAAGGCCTTCTGGCTGCAGGTTTAATGCCTTTCAGCTGCCAGGGATGTCAGCCGAACTCTCAAAACCCCATGCCAGAGAAAACTCTATTTTCTCCATGAAGAAGCACGTGGATGCCCACTTGCTGCCTGAACTCCCTGAAGGATGTGTTTGGAAGGGAGGATCGGGAGGGTCTCCCAACACCCTCCCCCTTCTGAGTTAGCACCGAACCTTGGTTCCTGCATTCCTGGGGTGACAGTCCCCTGCTTGCTTTCCAGTACCTCCCAGAGAACTCCTGCACAATTGCTGTCCTGAACTTCCCCGGGGGGACCCATAGCCTTCTTCTTACCCTCTGCAAGTATTATGACCATTTTCCCCTATGCTGCGACTGGGGCTCAAAAGATGCTCCTCCAAATTGGAGGCCTCAAGGGCAGCCTCAGAAGCAAAAGTTTCGATCTCATCTTCTCCTGCCTCTTGTTTCTGGCCCCCAAGGCTAGCCACAGAAACTAGAGTCTCTCTTCCCTAAAGCAGGTCTTAGAAACCAAACCCCTTTTCCCCAAAGCCAGCCATCAAACCCCAAAATATTACTCTAACTTCCTCCCTTTTTCTGTGTAAAACATGGCTGTAAAGAAATCATCTGACCAGGCCAGGTGCAGTGGCTCATGCCTATAATCCCAGCACTTAGTCAGGAGGAGGCAGGTGGATGGCTTGAGCCCAGCGGTTCCAGATGAGCCTAGGCAACATGGTGAAACCTCCTCTCTACAGAAAACTTAAAAATTAGCCAGGTGCAGTGGTGCATGCTCTGTGGTCCCAGCCACTGGGTATGCTGGGGCGGAAGGATCACCTGGGTCTGGGAGGTCAAAGCTGCAGTGAGCCAGGATCACACCACTGCACTACAGGCTGGGCAACAGAATGACCCTGTCTTAAAAAAAAAAAGAAAAGAAATTATCTAACCTACTTTGTTTGATAGTAGGTCACAAGATCCCCGTTCCAGAGAGGGTCTTGCCCCATACCCAGAAGGAAGGAATGCTGCGTAGAGAGGCCAAGAAGAAAATATACAGACAGGACTTGCTGCATTTCCCCACTCAACCTATTAGCATTAGAGTTTTGTCCAATCATAGTTCTGCACAACCACTCATACTTTTCTGAACCTAAGCATAAAAATAGACAGCTTCCCCTGTATCTTTGGGGTCTTGATTCTGAAGGTTCCTCTGTCACATAAAATTGTGATCAAATAAGTTTGTATGCTTTTTGGCCTGTTAGTCTGCCTTTTGTCAGTGATTCTCAGTGGACCTTCAGATGGCAAAGAGAATGTTTTTCTCTTGGCCCCTGCACCACTGGGAAAGGCTGCAGGCTGCATTGCCTCTACAAGGCTGCCATCTGCAGCTGCTTCAAGTGGGCTGTGACCTACGTTGGGGCACTCCATTCTCGGGGTACCGGACCGGACCTACATCCAGAACACTGATGTCTCTCCTTGCCATCCCCCACAGGACAGGCCCATGCTGAAGATGCCCTGGGCCATGTCCCCCTGGTACCACATTTGGGGGCCGACGTCCCAGTGTCAGAGGCATTTGAACCAGAGCAACTCCATCTTGAATAGGAGCTGGGTAAAATGAGACTGAAACCTACTGGGCTGCATTCCAGACAGTTACACATCCTAAGTTGCAGGGTGAGATAGGAGATTGGTACAAGATACAGGTCATAAAGATCTTGCTGATAAAACAGGTTGCAGTAAAGAAACCGGCCAAAATCCCCCAAAACCAAGATAGCCACAAGAGTGACCTCTGGTCGTCCTCATGGCTACACTCCCGCCAGCGCCACGACACTTTACAAATGCCATGGCAACGTCAGGAAGTTACCCTATATGGTCTAAAAAGGGGATGCATGAATAGTCCACCCCTTGTTTAGCATATATAATCAAGAAATAACCACAAAAATGGGCAACCAGTAGCCCTCAGGGCTGCTCTGCCTCTGGAATAGCCATTCTTTATTCCTTCACTCCTTTATAAACTTGCTTTCAGTCTACAGACATGCCTGAATTCTTTCTTGGGTTAGATCCAAGAACCCTCTCTTGAAGTTTGGATCAGGACCTCTTTCTGGTAACACTTGGGTTGAGTGTGGACCCCAGCCAACACAAAGCTCTCTCCTCTCCCCACCTGCCACCAACAGGCCCCTCTATTTTTGCTCTTCCGGCAAAGTTTCTCCCAGCAGAGGCTGGGCTACAGCCTGCTCCTCTCCCGGCTTCATCATGTAGCAGGATGAGCTGCAGACAAGAATCCCTCAGACACTGAGGTGTAGAAGGAAAGGGCTTTATTCAGCTGGGAGCACTGGCAGACTCATGTCTCCAAAAACCGAGCTCCCCAAGTGAGCAATTCCTGTCCCGTTTAAGGGCTTACAACTCTAAGGAGGTCCCCGTGAAAGGGTCATGATTGATTGAGCAAGCAGGGGATCCGTGACTGGGGGCTGCATGCACCGGTAATCAGAATGGAACAGAACAGGACAGGGATTTTCATGATGCCTTTCCATACAATGTCTGAAATCTACAGATAACACAAGCAGTTAGGTCAGGGGTTGATTTTTCTTTTTTTTTTTTTTTTTTTTTTTTGGGATGGAGTTTTGCTCTTGTGCCCAGGCTGGAGTGCAGTGGCGCAATCTCGGCTCACCACAACCTCCGCCTCCCGGATTCAAGCGATTCTCCTGCCTCAGCCTCCTGAGTAGCTGGGATTACGGGCATATGCCACCACACCTGGCCAATTTTTTGCATTTTTAGTAGAGACGGGATATCTCCATATTGGTCAGGCTGGTCTTCAACTCCCAACCTCAGGTGATCCGCCCACCTCAGCCTCCCAAAGTGCTGGGATTATAGGCGTGAGCCACCACGCCCAGCCAAGTCAGGGGTTGATTTTTAACTACCAGGCCCAGGGCGCAGTGCTGGGCTATCTGCCTGTAGATTCCATTTCTGCCTTTTAGTTTTTACTTCTTCTTTCTTTGGAGGCAGAAATTGGGCATAAGACAATATGAGGGGTGGTCTCCTCCCTTAATCCTCCTCACCTTCATCAAATCTTTTTATTGTGAGCATTGAGGCAGCCCAGCTCCTCCACGGCCGGCAACACTGGGCATACGCCCTCCCCACTGCCAAAGAGGAAGAGGAAGATCAGCTCCACAGACGCTGCTGCCAAGGAAGAGCCCAGGAGGAGGTTGGCACGGTTGTCAACTAACCTGCTCTTGCAAAAGTGGAAACAAAGCTGAAACAGGCAGCAGAGAAGGATAAATCTTCGGACAAAAAAGTGCAAACAAAAAGGGAAAGGGGGGCAAAGGGAAAACAGGCTAAGTGGCTAACTAGGAAACTAAAGAAGATTTACCTGCAGAAAACGGAGAAACTAAAATCAGCCTCTGATGAAGCTGGAGAGAAGGAAGCCAAGTCTGATTAAATCACATACCATGTTTTATCAGTGGTCCCCATCTCCCTTTTTGTACAATCGAGTATATATTTTCATCAACTATTTTGTAAATGCAAGTTTACAAAATAATAGTGTTTTTTTTTTTTTTTTTTTTTTTTGAGACAGGGTCTGGCTCTGATGCCCAGGCTGGAGTGCAGTGGTGCCATTTCAGCTCACTGCACTCTGCCTCCCAGGCTCAAGCCATCCTCCCACCTAAGCCTCCTGAGTAGCTGGGACCACAGGTGCATGCCACCATGCTTGGCTCCTTTTTTGCATTTTTTGTAGAGACAGGGTCTCACTTTGTTGCCCAGGCTGGTCTCGAACTCCTGAGCTCAAGAGATATGCCTGCCTTGGTGTCTCAAAGTGCTGGAATTACAGGTGTGAGCCACGATGGCCGGCCTAGAAACATTTTTAAGAAGGAGGGAATCACATCTAATCTCATTTTTTAAGTGTAAATGCTTATTTTAAAAAGGTGAAACCATTTGCTGCTTGTTTGTTTTTTGGTACAACCAGAAAATAGTGTGGGCTATTGAATTCTGGGAGGCTTTGACTGTCTTGGGTGTCAGCTTAACATTCCATAGATGGAGGGTTAGTGTTTATATCCTATAATAGAAAGCATACTAAATGGCAATATGGAGTCACAGTCCTGCATTTAATGTCCTGGGCATTTTAAATTACTTCTATTCCCATGTTGTTGTTAATTTTTTTTTTTTTTTTTTTTTTGATGGAGTCTCGCTCTGTCACCCAGGCTGGAGTGTAGTGGCGTGATCTCGGCTCACTGCAACCTCTGCCTCCCGGGTTCAAGCGATTCTCCTGCCTCAGCTTCCCAAGTAGCTGGGATTACAGGCATCTGCCATCATGCCCAGCTAATTTTTTGCATTTTTGTAGAGACAGGGTTTCACCATGTTGACCAGGCTGGTCTCGAACTTCTGACCTCAGGTGATCTGCCCTCCTTGGCCTCCCAAAGTGCTAGGATTATAGGCGTGAGACACCACGCCGGGCCTACTCATATTGATTTTTAGCAGAATTGTTTCCTAAAGAAATCCACTTGATCACGGCCGTCCCTGTGAGAATTGTGTGCACTCTGTAACATCCTTGGTCGTGGTAGTCTTGTTTTCCTAGTAACTTTGTTAACGTGCTGTGAAAGATTGAAAATTTGAGTATGTGGTGTATTTGCTGTTCAGTTGTGTATTGGTGGGATGTTTGTAACAGCTTATCCACATGTGAAAATACTGGTACTTGATAGCCTCTTAAGGAAAATTTACCTCCAAATTTTAAGCTGGAAAGTCACTGGAATAACTTTTAAAAAGAATTACAATACATGGCTTTTTAGATTTTCAGTACATATGATAAGAACTGTGTGCAAACTGAAATGTCTGTGTATTGAGCCTCAACACAACCAATAAAATCTCAATTATGGAAGAGTGTTTTGAAGCACATGGAAAAAAACAAACAAACAAATCTCCTTGTTGTGACCATTTCACACTTGGGAGGATGAGGCACAGAGACCCTGCCCATTGGCTGTTTGCTCAGGGATGGACCTGCTGGACGCCTTGCTTAGCGTCTGAGAGCAAAGAGAGTAAATCCGGGCTGGGGCACTGGCTCCTCTGAGGAGAAACCCCACTGGAGCTGTGAGCTTCGGGCAGCTCCTGGCTCCTGGCACTCCCCTCCAGCCCAGCCAGCAGGCCTGGACCCAGGAGTAAGCACTCACAAGCACGCAGCACCGGAAGCTGCTTGCAGCCTCCCAGGGGACCTTTCAGGCTGAGCTGCTTTTGAAGAGAGGAGAGCCTGAGGAAGAAGAGGTCATGGGGCTTTTTGTAGGGAAAAACATAACTACACATTTAACTACCAATGATGCTTCCCCATTAGCTCAGGCTGGCCAGCTCTCCCTGGCCCCCAGCCCTTGCGCCAATCCCCACTAGGCTGGTTGGCCCAGAGCACGGGCAGGGAGAGTTCCTTCCCAGTGTGGCAATGAGATCCAGACTTGGGATCTCACATTCTCAGGGAGGCCAGTCCTGAGGCCTTGGCAGGGACCACTGCAGCTGCCCATCTCCAGCAAGGCCATCAAAAGGCGGTGAGGCGTGGGAGCCGGCCCTCGGAGGGGCCACCACAGGACCTGCCAGGCTGCCATCAGGTCTTGGCAGGAAGAGAAAATGTTTTTGCTCTTATAGAGGGTGCAGAGAAAGGCAGCATGGCCGGGCAGGCCAACTCCTGCCAGTCTTCAGGGGGTGTGGAACAAAGCCCTTTTTTCTCCAGGTCCTCGGACCCTCTGCCAGGCCGGACCATTGGTTAGTTCCTTCCCAGTTCCCTTGGCACCAGGAGATGTGGCAGTCAGAGCTGCCCAGGGCTCATTGAGGAGAGGCCCTGAATGGGCACATCCAGGGGGCCCAGGCCAGCTGACGCTCCCTCGCAGTCAGAGCCTCCCCGCTTAGGAGAGGCACGGGCTGTGCATTCAAAGAGACCTGCATTCACCAGCTAGGCTTCATAAGCCGAACCTCAGAGTCCTCTCATTTAAAATAACGAGGATGGGGTATATTGTTAATAAAAAAGGCAAGGTGCAGAATGCATGTATAGCGTGCCACCAATCGAGGCAGGAGATGGAGAGACATAACATTTACACACATTTACTTGTGTATGCATAAAACAAAAAATGTCTCAGAAAAGATAAACAAAAAATGGGCTTTCGGGTTCCCTCCAGGAAGAAAAATTGGGTGGTGAGGAAGGAAAAGGGGAAGGAGGAAGACTTTTTAATAATTATTTTATTTATATATTTATTTTTATTTTTTTGGAGACAGAGTCTTACTCTGTTGCCCACTCTGTTGCCCAGGCTGGAGTGCAGTGGCACAATCTGGGCTCACTGCAACCACCACCTCCTAGGTTCAAGTGATTCTCATGCCTCAGCCTCTCAAGTAGCTGGGATTGCAGGCACCCACCACCACACCCAGCTAATTTTTGTATTTTTAGTAGAGATGAGGTTTCACCATTTTGTCCAGGCTGGTCTCAAACTCCTGGCCTCAAGTGATCTACCTGCCTCAGCCTCCCAAAGTGCTAAGATTACAGGCATGAGCCACCACACCAGGCCAGAGGAAGACTTTTTCAGAGTGTACCTTTTAGAGCTTTGAAATTTTGAATTTTTTTTTTTTTTTTTTTTTTTTTGTAAAAACAGGGTCTCACTATGTTGCCTAGGCTAGTCTTAAACTCCTGGCCTCAAACAATCCTCCCACATCAGCCTCCCTACTTGTTGGGATTACAGGTGGGAGTGTGAATTGTTTAAATTATATATATTTAAAATGAGATTTCAATGAAGAAAAACAAAGGTAACAGTGAGGACCTGCCTCAATTGCTTTGAGAATAAAATGAGCTAACATAGATGACAGCAGGGCACCCTGCATGCAGGCCCTCAGGAAGTGGTGTAGAGCCTTAGGGGTTACAGGTCCATATGGTTTGGATTTCTGTCCCCACCCAAATCTCATGTGGAATTGTAATTGCCAACGTTGGAGGTGGGGTCTGGTGAGAGGTGACTGATCATGGGAGCGGATTTCACCCTTGCTGGTCTCATGATAGTGAGTTCTCACGAGATTTAATGGTTTAAACATGTGTGGCACTTCCCCCTTCACTCTGTCTCTCTCCTGCCGCCATGAGAAGAAGGTGCTTTGCTTCCCCTTCGCCTTCTGTCATGACTGTAAGTTTCCTGAGTCCTCCCCAGCCATGTTTCCTATACAGCCTACGGACCCGTGAGCCAATTAAACCTCTTTTCTTTATAAATTACCCAGTTTCAGGTCTTTCTTTATAGCAGTGGGAGAACAGACTAATACACAGGCAGCGCATGCACTGGCTCATGCTGCTGAGCGAGGAAGGGTGCAGAGCAGGCACAGTGCATCCTGCAGTGCAGATGGGAACCTGAGGTCTAGAAGGAACCTGCCCAAGGTCACACAGATGGAAGTGATAAAGGATGCATCTTGAACATGAGTCCCATTCCCAGGGCTGAGAACATTTGTAGAAACTAGAAAAACTATTAGGATCTTTGGAGACCTGAGTGCCAGGTGAAAATCAGACTCTCCCAGGATAATGAGACTTTCAAGTCCAGCCTTCAGAAGAGCAAAGGATGCGGGTCTTGACTGATCAGGGCAGGGACTTTGGACTGGGGCCTGAGACAATGAGGCTGGATGTCAGAACCTAGCCTCCTGCTGGAGCAGATCAACCCCAAGAGGCCCATCTGCCAAGGGAACACATGTTCCTGGTCTGTGGTTTCTCCTCCCAGCCCCAAGCTTGGCATCTGCTGGAGATGAATCCCTTTTCAAAATGCACCCAGCCTCTTACCTCCCCAGCAGACTTCTCCTTCACTAACATTGCATGCCACCCTGTGCTAGGTATTCAGCCAGGCCATGGGAACACCAAGAGGTCTAAGGAATCCCTCAGAGCTTCTAGTTTAATCAGAAGATATGTCAGGCAGTTTTGGATAATAATCCCGAAAGACAAAACCCTGAATGTTGAAATCCTAAAAGATCAAAATCCATAAATTCTAAAATCCTGAAAATCACTATCACAGATCATGTTAGGTGGAACTATTACCTTGTTACTGTCTTTATTTGGAAATGAAGCACAGCTCAAGGAGATGCATATGGGTTCCGAGTTCACAAAGGGTGGATGTGTGAACCTAATTTAGTTCTGTGAAAATAGAAAATCACTTAATTGCAATGGCCAGGCAATAACCAGACTTTCAAATAAACAGCATATACTTAAAAAATTTGTAGGCCAGAACCACTTTCCAAATGCAATTGCAGCAAATGTTTTGAAGATGATAGAAGTGAAACTGCTGGCAAAAAAAAAAAAAATGCAAGAAATCTCCTCTACCGAATTATTGAATCATGTAGGACTTCTGCCCCTTCACACATCATGCCATGCTTGCTTTCAAAAAATGTGCTTCATCAGGGAGTAAAAAGAATCCAACAAGCTCAGCGACCTCTGAACCAAAGATGCTCGCTGATACTGAGGCTTCTCCAGCAAAACACATTAAATGGTGAGCTAGTTTTTGTTGTTGTTGTTGTTTGTTTGTTTGTTTTTGAGACAGGGTCTCACTCTTCACCTGTGCTGGAGTGCACTGGTATGATCATGGCTCACTGCAGCCTCAAATTCCCAGGCTCCAATGATCCTCCCACCTCATCCTCCTGAGTAGCCGGGACCACAGGTATGTGCCATCACACCTGGCTAATTTTTGTATTTTTTGTAGAGAAAGAATTTTTGCCATGTTGCCCAGGCTGGTCTCAAACCCCTGGGCTCAAACAATCCTCCTGCCTTGGCATCCCAAAGTGCTGGGATTACAGGCATGAGCCACTGCACTCAGCCAAACTATTCTTGATTAGGGGTTTGACTGTTGAAGAAGATAGAATTTTTATGTTTATCACTAACTCTAACATTAAAAAAAACTTGCACATACTTCACTTTGGCGAATAAATAGGACTTTCTTTTTTATTTTTATTTTTATTTTTTTATTTGAGGCAGAGTTTCGCCCTTGTTGCCCAGGCTGGAGTGCAGTGGCGCGATCTTGGCTCACCACAACCTCTGCCTCCCAGGTTCAAGCAATTCTCCTGCCTCAGCATCCCGAGTAGCAAGTAGCTGGGATTACAGGCATGCTCCACCATGCCTGGCTAATTTTGTATTTTTAGTAGAGACGGGGTTTCTCCATGTTGGTCAGGCTGGTTTTGAACTCTCGACCTCAGGTGATCCGCCTGCCTCAGCCTCCCAAAGTACTGGGATTACAGACGTGAGCCACTGTGCCCAGTCATAAATGGGACTTTCAAAACTGTCACTCATTTTTTTTTTAAATCAACTATATACAATTCATGCCCCTGTTGGGTCTGAAAACCCTAGAACTTATCCACTTGTTTATGTATTAATGACTGAAAAAAGTGATGCAATTTATAAAAGTTTATTTGAAGATTTGGTGAACTATGCAGAAGAAAATGGATTTCAATTGAATCCCCAAACCATAATGACAGATTTGGAATTAGGTGTGATCAAGGTTACTAAAAGTGAATTTCAAGGTGTTTCCAATAAAGTTTGTTTTTTTTCCATTCAGTCCAGTGCATTTGGTGGAAAACTCAGATGAGTGGACTGGCCAAGCAATATGGCAACAACAATAACTTCAGTTTAAGAAGGCATAATTTGTCTACATTGATGTTCCTTCCAGCTGATGACATTCCAAGAGTGTTTGATGAATTAAAGGCATATTTACCTGAAGAAGCTAACAAAGTTACTGAATCGTTGTAAAATAATTATGTGCCTGGTAGAATAATAAGACACCTATGCAACAATGTTGCTATTCAATCACTAGTATTGTTTCCACCAAATTTGGGGCCCCTTTACTGGGGCATGCAGAATGGATTTCTGCATACCCAAAACAACATACAAGGCCAGGCGCGGTGGCTTATGCCTATAATCCCAGCTCTTTGGGAGGCCGAGACGGGCAGATCACCTGAGCTCAAAAGTTTGAGACCAGCCTGGCCAACATGGCAAAATCTGTCCACACACACACACACACACACACACACACACACACCACAAAAATTATCCAGGCACGGTGGCATGTGCCTGTAGCCCCAGCTACTTGGGAGGCTGATGAAGGAGAATTGCTTGAGCCCAGGAAGTGGAGGTTGCAGTGAACCAAAATTGCACCATTGCACTCCAGCCTGGGTGACAGAGCAAGACTCTGTCTAAAAAAGAAACAAACAACAACAAACATAGAAGCATGGCACAAAAGACAGAAGATGGGAAATTTTAATAGGGAATGCTCATGTCAGCATATATCAAACCAGAAGAATTTCAAAAAGAGCAGTGCTACGTGGAAAATGAAGGTGGGGACAGAACCTGAATCCTGTCCCCTTTCTTTCCTCCCGAGACAACATGAGCTTCATCTCTCATTCCACCACCTTCTCCACCAACTACTGGTCGCTGAGCTCTGTCACCCAGGCACAGTGTCTGGCTCACGAGCAGCGTGGCCAGTGTCTATGCAGGTGCTGGGGGCTTATTCTCCTGGATCTTCATGTCCTGCTCCACCAGCTTCCAAGGAGGCTGGGAGTCCGGGGACCTGGCTGCAGGGATGGCCAAGGGTCTGGCGGGAATGGGGGGCATCCAGAGCAAAAAGGAAACATGCAAGGCCTGAATGACTGCCTGGTCTCCCACCTGGACAGAGCGAGGAGCCTGCAGACCAAGAATCAGAGGCTCAAGAGCAAAATCTGGAAACACCTGGCATAGAAGGGACCCCAGGTCAGAGACTAGGGGCATTACTTCAAGACCATCAAGAACCTAAGGGCTCAGATAATTCTGTGGACAATGCCTGCATCATTTTTCAGGCTGAAAATGCCCGTCTTGCTGCTGATGACTTTAGAGTCAAGTATGAGACACAGCTGGCCATGCGCCAGTCTGTGGAGAGTGACATCCATGAGATCTGCGAGGTCGTTGATGTCACTTGGCTGCAGCCAGAGACAGAGATCAAGGCTCTCAAGGAGGAGCTGCTCTTCATGGAGAAGAACCATGAAGAGGAAGTAAAAGACCTACAAGCCCAGATTGCCAGCTGTGGGTTAATCGTGGAGGTAGATGCCCCCAGATCTCGGTACATCAGCAAGATCAGGGCAGACATCCAGTCCCAGTATGACGAGCTGGCTCAGAAGAACCGAGAGGAGCTGGACAAGTACTGGTCCCAGCAGACTGAGGAGGGCACCACAGTGGTCACCACGCAGTCCGCTTAGATGTAAATGTCATCTTAGCAGTCCATGGAGCTGCTAAGATGATGCTCACGGAGCTGAGACATACACTTCAGTCCTTAGAGATTGACCTGGACTCAATATCTGAAGGCCAGCTTGGAGAACAGCCTGAGGGTGGTGGAGGTTCACTACACCATGCAGAGGGAGCAGCTCAATGGGGTCCTGCTGCACTTGGAGTCAGAGTCGGCACAGACCCAGACAGAGGGGCAGCACCAGACCCAAGAGTACGAGGCCCTGATGAACATCAAGGTCAAGCTGGAAGCTGAGTTCACCACCTACCACTGCCTGCTGGAAGACAGGGAGGACTTCATTCTCGGTGATGCCCTGTACAGCAGCAACTCCATACAAACCATCCAAAAGAGCACCATCGGCAGGCTGGTGGATGGCAAAGTGGGGTCTGAGACCAATGACACCAAAGTTCTGAGGCGTTGAGCCAGCAGAAGCAGGTAACTTTTGGGAAGCAGGAGGCCAATAAAAAGTTCAGAGGTCATTGGTCTGAAAAAAAAAAAAAAAAAAAGAAAGAAAGAAAGAAAATGAAGGTGAACATATTCTCCAAGGAGAGCCATGTCCTAAAAGAAAAAAAGCAGCTCTTCATTGTGATATAAGACTTCAAAATATGGTTAATGATTGTGAAAGTCAACCAATGCAATTGCCCGTAATCTGTCCCTACAACACACTTTCATATGTTGAATTTTCTTCTTTGTTTTGTTCATTTTTTCACTTTTTTCTTTTAAATTTTTTTACTTTTAAAGTTTTTAAAATTGGAACATAATAATTGTACATATTTATAGGGTACATAGTGATGCTGTGATACATACACTGTATAGTAATCAGATCAGGGTAATTAGCGTATCTATCATCTCAAACATTTATCATTTCTTTGTATTGAGAACATTCAGAGTTCTCCTTCCAGCTATTTGAAACTATATAATATATATTGTTGTTGGCTATAGTCATTCTACAGTGATATAGAGTACTAGAATTTATTCCTCCTATCTGGCTGTGATTTTGTATCATTTAACAAATCTCTCCCTATGGCTCCTTTCCCCTTACCCTTTCTAGCCTCTGTTTTACTTTTCTTTCTAGGAGACCAACTTTTTTTTTTAGCTTCCACATATGAGTGAGAATATGCAGTATCTAACTCTGTTTCTAGCTTACTTCATTTAACATGATGCCCTCCAGTTCCATCCAAATTGCCAACAAATGACAGGATTTCATTCTTTTTTATGGATGAGTTATATTCCACTATGTACATATACCACATTTTCTTTATCAACTAATCTGTTGTTGGACACCTAAGTTGATTCTATATCTGGGCTATTGTGAATAATACTGCAATAAGTGTGAGGGTGCAGGTGTCCCTTCTATATACCAATTTCCTTTCCTTTGGATAAATGTCCAGTAGTGAAATCACTGGATCATGATAGTTCCTTTTTTTTTTTTGAGACAGAGTCTTGCTCTGTCACCCAGTCTGGGGTGCAGTGACACAATCTCGGCTCACTGAAACCTCCACCTTCTGGGCTCAAGTGATCCTCCTGCCTCAATGTCCCAAGTAGCTGGGATTACAGACGCCTGCCACCACACCTAGCTACTTTTGGTATTTTGGGTAGAGACAGGGCTTCGTCATGTTGCCCAGCTGGTCTTGAACTCCTGCGCTCAGGGGATCCATCTATCTCAGCCTCCCTAAGTGCTGGAATTATAGTCATGAGCCACCATGCCAAGCCTTGTATAATAGGTCTATTTATAGTTTTTTGAGATACCTCCATGTTATTCTCCATAGTGGTTGTACTTGTTTACATTCCCACCCACAGTGTATAAGAATTCCCTTTTCTCAGTATTCTCACCAGCATTTGTTATCTTCGTCTTTTTGATCATAGTCTTCCTAACTGGGGTGAGATGATACCTTATCATGGTTTTGATTTGCATACACCTGATGATTAGTGGTGTTAAGCATTTTTTCATATATATATATATATATATATATAGTTTTGTTTTGTTTTGTTTTGTTTGTTTTTGAGACGGAGTTTTGCTCTTGTTGCCCAGGCTGGAGTGCAGTGGTGCGATCTCAGCTCACTGCAACCTCCGCCTCCCATGTTCAAGTGATTCTCCTGCTTCAGCCTCCCGAGTAGTTGGGATTTCAGGCATGTGCCACCATGCCCAGCTAATTTTGTATTTTTAGTAGAGATGGGGTTCCTCTGTTGGTCAGGCTGGTCTCGAACTCCCAACCTCAGGTGATTCACCCACCTTAGCCTCCCAAAGTGCTGGGATTACAGGCATGAGCCACCGCAGCTGGCTTTTTTTCATATATTTGTTGACCATTTGTATGTCTTCTTTTGAGAAAAGTCTGTTCAGATCATTTGCCCGTTTTTAGTTAGATTGTTTTTTTTGCTATTGAGATGTTTGAGTTCCTTGTATATACTGAATATTAATCCCCTGTCAGATGAAAGGTTTGCAAATATTTACTCCCATTCTTCTGCAGGATATCCTTTGCTGTGCAGATGCTTTTCCATTTGATATAAACCCATTTGTTTATTTTTACTTTTGTTGCCTGTGCTTTTGAAGTCTTCTTGTTCATAAAATCTTTTCCTTAAACAATATCCTAAAGCATTTCCCTTATATTTCCCTCTAGTTGTGTTAAAGTTTTGGGTCTTACCTTTAGGTCTTTGATCTATTTTGAGTTTATTTGTGTACGGGGCAAGAGAAGGGGATCTGGTTTTATTCTTCATATGGATATCCAGTTTTCCTAGCACCATTTATTCTCTTCTGTATACCAATTTCCTTTCCTTTGGATAAATGTCCAGTAGTGAAATCACTGGATCATATGACAGTTCCTTTTTTTTTTTTTTTTTTTTTTTTGAGACAGAGTCTTGCTCTGTCACCCAGTCTGGAGTGCAGTGACAAAATCTCAGCTCACTGAAGAGCTGTCCTTTCTCTGATGTATGTTCTCTGACTTTGTCAAAAATCAGTTGGCTATAGATATGTGGATTAATTACTGGGTTCTCTATTCTGTTCCATTGGTCTGTGTTTCTGTTTTTATGCCAGTACCATGCTGTTTCGGTTACTACAGCTTTGTGGTATATTTTGAAGTCTGGTAGTATGATACCTCCACCTTTGTTCTTTTGTCTATTTGAGGTCTGATATAGTTTGGCTCTGTGTGCCCACCCAAATCTCATGTCAAATTGTAATCCCCATGGGTCAGGGAAGGGACCTAGGGAAGTTGATTAGATCATGGGGGTGGATTTCCCCCTTGCTGTTCTCGTGATAGTGAGTTCTAATGAGATCTGATGGTTTAAAAGTGTGTGGCATTTCCGCCCTCACACTCTCAATCTCTCTCTCCTGACACCACGGGAAGAAGGCGCTTGCTTCTGCTTTGCCTTCTGCCATGCTTGTAAGTTTTCTGAGGCCTCCCAATCATGCTTCCTGTTTAGCCTGTGGAACTGTGAGTCAATTAAACCTCTTTTATTCATAAATTACTTAGACTCAGGTAGTTCTTTATAGCAATGTGAGAACAGACTAATAACAGGGTCTTTGTGGTTTCATGTAAATTTTAGGATTTCTTTTTCTATTTCTGTGAAGGATGTCATTGGTATTTTCATAGGGACTGCATTGAACCTCTAGATTGCTTTGGTTAGTATGGTCATTTTAACAATATTAATTCTTTCAATCCATAAACGTGGCATATTTTGTTTGTATCCTCTTCAGTTTCTTTCATTAGTGTTTTCTAGTTTTCCTGGTAGAGTTCTTTCACCTTATTGGTTAAATCCCTAGGTATTTTGCATGTATGTGTAGCTACTGTTAATGGGACTGCTTTCTTTATTTTTTTTCAGGCAATTCATTATTTGTTTATAGAAACGCTACTGAGTTTTGTATGTCGATCTTGTATTCTGCAACTTTCCTCCATCCATAATCAGTTCTAAGAGGAGTTTCTTATGGAGTCTTTTGGGTTTTTTTGTTTTTGTTTTGTTTTGTTTTTTTGTTTTTTTTTTGACGGAGTCTTGCTCTGTCGCCAGGCTGGAGTACAACGGTGTGATCTCAGCTCACTGCAAGCTTCGCCTCCCGGGTTCCAGCAATTCCCCTGCCTCAGCCTCCTGAGTAGCTGGGACAACAGGCACCCACCACCACACCCGGCTAATTTTTTTACTTTAGTAGAGATGGGGTTTCACCATGTTGGCCAGAATGGTCTTGATCTCCTGACCTTGTGATCTGCCCGCCTCGGCCTCCCAAAGTGCTGGGATTACAGGCGTGAGCCACTGTGCCCAGCCTAGGGTTTTTTAATATATGAGATCGTGTCATCTGCAAAGAGGGAAAATTTTATTTCCTCCTTTCCAAATTGGGTGCCCTTTGTTTTTTTCTCTGGCCTAAATGCTCTGGCTAGGACTTCCAGCACTGTGTATAATAAGAGTGGTGAGAGTGAGCATCTTTGTCTTGTACCAGTTCATAGAGGATAAGCTTTGAGTTCTTCTCTATTCACTGTGATGTTAGCTGTGAGTTTATCATATTTGGCCTTTATTAGGTTGAGTGACATTCTTTCAGTGCCTAATTTGTTGAGTTGTTATCATGAAGGGATGTTGAATTTTATCAAATACTGTTTTTTGCATCTATTGAAATGATCATATGGTTTTTGTCCTTTATTCTGCTGATGTAATGTATCACATTTATTGATTTGTATGTTAAACCATCCTTGCATTCCTGGGATAAACCCCCACTTGATCGTGTCATATTATCTTTTATCTTTTTTTTTTTTTTTTTTGAGACAGAGTTTCACTCTCATTGCCCAGGCTGGAGTGCAGTGGTGTGATCTCAGCTCACTGCAGCCTCTGCCTCCCAGGTTCAAGTGATTCTCCTGTCTCAGCCTCCCAAGTAGCTGGGATTACAGGCATGCACCACCACGCCCAGGTAATTTTGTATTCTTAGTAGAGATGGGGTTTCTCCATGTTGGTCAAGCTGGTCTCAAACTCCTGATCTCAGGTGATCCACCCACCTCAGCCTCCCAAAGTGCTGTGATTACAGGTGTAATCCACCATGCCCGGCTGTATTATCTTTTTGATATGTTGTTGAATTCAGTTTGCTAGTATTTTATTGAGGAATTTTTGCATCAATGTTTATCAGGGACTTTGGCCTGTAGTTTTCCTTTTTTGTTGTGACATTATCTAAATTTGGTATCAGGGTTATGCTGGCCTTGTTAAATGAGTTATGAAAAATTCCCTCCACTTGAATTTTTTGGAGTCATTTGAGAATAATTGTTATTAATTCTTCTTTAAAGGTTCAGTAGAATTCAGAAGTGAAATCATCCAGTCCTGGATTTTTCTTTGTTGGGAGACTTTTTATTACTGACTCAATCTTATTACTTGTTATTGGTCTGTTCAGGTTTTCTATTTCTCCTTGGTTTAATCTTGGTAGGTTGTATGTGTCCAGGAAATTATCCCTTTCCTCTATGTTTTTTAATTTATTGGCATATATTTGTTCATATTAGTCCCTAATGATCCTTATTTCTGTGGTATCCATTATGACATCTCCTTTTTCATTTCTGTTTTTATTCATGTATCCTCTCATTTTTTCTTCATCTAGCGAATAGTTTGTCCATTTTTTATCTTTCCAGAAAACCAACTTTTTGTTTTGTTGGTCTTTTGTATTATATCTTTTTTTTTTTTTTTTTTTTGAGGTGGAGTCTCGCTCTTTTGCCCAGGCTGGAGTGCAGTGGTACAATCTCAGCTCAATGCAACCTCCGCCCCCTAGGTTCAAGCAATTCTTCTGCCTCAGTCACCCAAGTAGCTGGAATTACAGGCACCTGCCACCATGCCCAGCTAATTTTTGTATTTTTAGTAGAGATGAGCTTTTACCATGTTTGGCCAGGCTGGTCTCAAACACCTGACCTCAGGTGATCCACCTGCCTCGGCCTCCCAAAGTGCCGGGATTACAGGAGTGAGACACCGTGCCCAGCTGTATTATTTCTTTAGTCTCAATTTTCTTTATTTCTGCTCTGATCTTTATTATTTCTTTCCTTCTAGTTTTGAGTCTGGCTTGTTCGTGCTTTTCTAGTTCCTTGAGTTGCATTATTAGGTGGTTTCTTTGAAATCTTTCTAGCTTTTTGATGTAGACCTTTATTGCTATCAACTTGCCTCTTAATAGTTTTTCTGCTGAGTCCCATAGGTTTTGTTTTGTTTTTTGTTTGTTTGTTTGTTTTTTGTTTTTTGTTTTTGTTTTAGACGGAGTCTCTCTCTGTCGCCCTGGCTGGAGTGCACTGGTGTGATCTGGGCTCACTGCAACCTCCACCTCCCGGGTTCAACTGATTCTCCCGCCTCAGCCTCCTGAGTAGCTGGGATTATAGGCGGGTGCCATCACGCCCAGCTACTTTTTGTATTTTTAGTAGAGACAGGGTTTCACTGTATTGGCCAGACTGGTCTCAAACTCCTGACCTCAAGTGATCCACCCACCTTTCCCTCCCAAACTGCTGGGATTACAGGCATGCACCACCATGCCCAGCTTGGTATGTTGTGTTTTTATTTGTTGCAATAAATTTTAAAATTTTGTTCATTTCAAGTTCCTTTTTTTGTTTTTTATTTGAGATGGAGTCTCACTCTGTCTCCCAGGCTGGAGTTCAGTGGCGCGATCTTGGCTCACTGCAAGCTCTGCCTCCCAAGTTCACGCCATTCTCCTGCTTCAGCCTCCCAAGTAGCTGGGACTACAGGTACCTGCCACCACACCCAGCTAATTTTTTTGTATTTTTCGTAGAGATGGGGTTTCACCGTGTTAGCCAGGATGGTTTCAATCTCCTGACCTCGTGACCCACCTGCCTCGGCCTCCCAAAGTGCTGGGATTACAGATGTGAGCCACTGCGCCCAGCCTTAAGTTCCTTCTTTTTAAACTTTTATTTTAGTTCAAGGGGAACATGTGCAGGTTTGTTACACAGGTAAATTGTGTGTCACTGGGGTTTGGTGTCCAAATGAGTTCATCACTCAGGTAATTTTCGACCCTCACCCTCCTCCTACCCTCCCATTTCAAGTAGGCCTTGGTGTCTATTGTTCTCATCTTTGTGTCCATGTATACTCCATGTTCCGTTCCCACTTATAAGTAAGAAGATGTGGTATTTGATTTTCTGTTCCTGTGTTAATTCATTTAGGGTAATGGTCTCCAGCTGTATCCATGTTGCTGCAAAGGACATAATATTGTTTTTGTTTTTAATGGCTGCATAGTATTCCATAGTATAGATGTACCACATTTTCTTTATTCAGTCCACCATTGATGGACATCTAGGTTGATTCTATGTCTTTGCCATTATGAATGATGCTGCAGTGAACTTATGGGTGCATGTGTCTTTTTGGTAAAATGATTTATATTCCTTTGAGTATATACTCAGAAATGGGATTGCTGGGTCGAAATGGTAGTTTTTTATTTTTTTTTTTTGTTTCTGGTTTTGAGACAGGGTCTCTTTCTGTCACCCAAGCTGGAGTGCAGTGTTGTGATCTCAGCTCACTGCAGCCTCCGCCTCCCAGGTTCAAGCAATTCTCCCACCTTAGTGTCCTGAGTACCTGGTACTACAGGCATGCAACACCATGCCTGGCTAATTTTTGTATTTTCTGTAGAGACGTTGTTTCACCATGTTGCTCAGGCAGGTCTTGAACTCCTGACCTCAAATGATCCACCTGCTCTGGCCTCCCAAAGCGTTGGGATTACAGGTGTGAGCCACTGCACCTTGCCCGAAATGGTAGTTTTGTGAGTGTGTGTGTGTGTGTGTGTGTGTGTGTGTGTGTGTGTGTGTGTGTGTATTTGTTTGTTTTTTGAGATGGAGCTTTGCTCTTCCTGCCTAGGCTGGAGTGCAATAGCACCATCTCGGCTCACTGCAACCACCGCCTCCTGGGTTCAAGCAACTCTCCTGCCTCAGCTTCCCAAGTAGCTGGGATTACAGGCATGTGCCACCACACCCAAGTAATTTTATATTTTTAGTAGAGATGGGGTTTCTCCATGTTGGTCAGGTTGATCTTGAACTCCCAAACTCAGGTGATCCACCTGCCTCGGCCTCCCAAAGTGCTGGGATTACAGGCCTGAGCCACTGTGCCCAGCCCCGAAATGATAGTTATTTAAGTTCTTTGAGAAATTTCCAGACTGTTTCCCACAGTGGCTGGACTAAATTCTATTTCCACCAGCAGCGTATAAGCATTCCCTTTTCTCTGCAACCTCACCAATTAAATTTCATTCTTAACGTCTTCCTTTACCCACTGATCATTCAGGAGCATGTCATTTAATTTCCATATATTTGTATAATTTTGAGTGATTTTCTTTTTATTGATTTCAAGTTTTATTCCCTGTATTCAGATAAGACACTGGTACAATTTCAATTTTTAAAACATTTTTGAGACTTGTTTTGTGTCCTAACATGTGGTCAATCCTGGAGACTGTTATATGTGCTGACAAAAAACGCGTGGCTGGATGTAGTGGCTCATGCCTGTAATTCCAGCACTTTGGGAGGCCAGTGTGGGTGGATCACTTGAGATCAGGAGTTCAAGACCAGCCTGGCCTATATGGTGAAACCTGTCTCTACTAAAAATACAAAAATTGGCCAAGTGTGGTGGTGGGTGCCTGTAGTCCCAGCTACTGGGGAGGCTGACAAGGGAATCACTTGAAACTGGGGAGGCAGAGATTGCAGTGAGCCAAGATTGCACCACTGTACTCCAGCCTGGGTGTCAGAGTGAGACTCCATCTCAAAACAAAACAAAACAAAAATATGTATTCTTCGGTTGTTGGGGGAAATGATCCATAAATGTCTGTTAGATCCATTTGGTCTCTGGTGCAGTTTATTTTTCTATTTATTATTTATTTATTCATTTATTTATTTGAGACAGGATTTTGCTGTCACCCAGGCGGGAATGCAGTGGAGTGATCTCAGTTCACTGCAACCTCTGCCTCCCGAGCTCAAGCAATTCTCCAGCCTCAGCCTCCCAAGTAGCTGGGACTACAGGTGTGAACCACCAATGCCAAGTTAATTTTTGTGTATTTTCTAAAGACAGTTGCTCAGGCTGGTCTTGAACTCCTGAACTCAAAGAGTTCCACCTGCCTCGGCCTCCCAAAGTGCTGGGATTACAGGTGTAAGCCACCATGCCTGGTCCCTATGATGTAGTTTAAGTCCAATGTTTCTTTGTTGATTTTCCATCTAGATGATCTGTCCGATGCTGACAGTGGCGTATTGAAGTCCTCAACTGTCATTGTACTGATGTCTATCTCTCCCTGTAAGTCTAATAATATTTGCTTTACATATCTGGGTGTTCTGGTGTTCGGTGCATATATATTTACAACTATTATAGTCTGTTGCTGAATTGATCCCTTTATTATTATATAATGTTCTTCTTTGTATCTTTTTACAGCTTTTGACTTGAAATCTGTTTTGTCTGATATAAGTATAGCTACTCCTGTTTGCTTGTGGTTTCCATTTGCATGGAATATCTTTTTTTATTCCTTTACTTTCAACCTATGTGTGTCTTTACAGGTGAGGTGAGTTTGTTGTAGGTAGCATATAGTTGGGTCTTGTCTTTTTTATCCTTTCAGACAGTCTATATCTTTTAAATTGAGAATTGATTTTGTTTACATTCAGGGTTAGGTTATTATTGATAGATAAGGACTTACTCTTCTCATTTTATTTATTGTTTTCTGGTTGTTTTATATATCCTTTGTTCCTTACTTCCTCTCATATTGTTTATTTTTATGGTTGGGTGGTTTTCTGTAACAGTAAGATTTTAGTCCATTCTCTTTCTCTTTTCTATATCAGCCTTACCAATGAGTTTTGTAGTTTCATACGCATCATGGTGGTTGTTACCTTTTCACTTCCAGATGCAAGACTCTCTTGAGTATCTCTTTTGAGGTCAGTCTAGTGGTGATGAATCCCCTTAGTTTTTGCTTGTCTGTGAAAGATTTTATTTCTCCTTCATTTCTGAAGGATAGCTAATCTGAGTATAATATTCTTGGCTGGCAGGTTTTTGTTCTTTCAGTACTTTGAATATATCATCCCATTCTCTCCCAGCCTGTAAGGTTTCTACTAAGAAATCCACTGTTAGTCTAATGGCGGTTGCCTTATATGTGACTTGATGCTTTTCTCTTGCTGCTTGTAGAATTCTGTCTTTGTCTTTGACTTTTGGTAATTTTACTATACTGTGCCACAGAGAGGACCTGTTTGGATTGAATCTATTTAGGGTTCTTTGAGCTTCCTGTACCTGGATGTTCATCTCTCTCTCAAGACTTGAGAAATTTTTAGCTAGTATTTCAAAATAAAGCTAAAATAGCCGCCGAGCCGCACCCACCCAGAACTCGCGCTGGCCCGCGAGTGCCACGTGCAGCCCCAGTTCCTGCCCACACCTCTCCCTCACACCTCCCCACAAGCAGAGAGAGCCGGCTCCGGCCTCGGCCAGCCCAGAGAGGGGCTCCCAGAGTGCAGCAGCGGGCTGAAGGGCTCCTCAAGCGTGGCCAGAGCGGACGCCGAGGCCAAGGAGGTGCTGAGAGGGAGCGAGGGCTGCTAGCACATTGTCACATCTCAGCACCACTGCACTCCATCCTGGGCGACAGAGCGAGACTCCATCTCAAAAAAAAAAAAAGAAGAAGAAGGGCCCTGTATTAGTCCACTTTCACACTACTGATAAAGATATATCCAAGACTGGGCAATTTACAAAAGAAAGAGGTTTACTGGACTTACAGTTCCACATGGCTGAGAAGGCCTCACAATCATGGTGGAAGGCAAGGAGAAGCAAGTCACATCTTAGATGGATGGCAGCAGGCAAAAAAGGAGCTTGTCAGGGCAACTCCCATTTTAAAAACCATCAGATCTCATGAGATCCATTCACTATCACGAGAACAGCACTGGAAAGACCCATCCCCATAATTCAGTCATCTCCCACCGGGTCCCTCCCACAACATGTGGGACTCATGGAAGCTATAAGATGAAATTTGGATGGCCGGGTACAGTGGCTCATGCCTGTAATCCTAGCAATTTGGGAGGCCGAGGTGGGTGGATTGCCTGAGCTCAGGAGTCTGAGACCAGCCTGGGCAACACGGTGAAACCCCATCTCTACTAAAATACAAAAAAAAAAAAAAGAAATTAACCAGGCGTGGCAGTCTGGGCCTGTAGTCCCAGCTACTTGGGAGGCTGAGGCAGGAAAATTGCTAGAACCCCGGAGGCGAAGGTTGTGATGAGCCGAGATCATGCCACTGCACTCCAGCCTGGGCAACAGAGCAAGACTTCATCTCAAAAAAAAAAAAAAAAAAAAAAAAAAAAAAATGAAATTTGGGTGGGAACAAAGAGCCAAACCATATCAGGCCCTATGAGCTGGTGAAACTTAAACTGGTCCTTGAAGCAGAGAAAAAAGAAGAGGGTCTTCCAAGGGGGAGGATCAGTAATAGCCAAGGCAGGAGGCAGGTATGAGTTCCGTATGTTTAGAGTCCTAGTTCAGCTAGAGCAGAAAGACTTGCCTGAGGTCATGATGGGAGAAGAGGCTGAAAGGCTGAAAGCTCAAGGGGCCTTAAGGTCCTGGCAATGGGAAGCCATGAGTCATGCCTTGGTAGGATGGCTTGGGAAGGACCAGAGAGGGAAGCAGGATGCCAGCTTGGAAACTAACCAAGCAATGAGAATGTGGTAACCTGGGCTCATCAAAATACTCAAACACAATGTACTCTAAATACAAAACAATTTTTTTTTTTTTTTGAGACGGAGTCTTGCTCTGTCACCCAGGCTGGAGTGCAGTGGCGCAATCCCTGCTCACTGCAAACTCAGCCTCCCAGGTTCGCAGCATTCTCCTGCCTCAGCCTCCCAAGTAGCTGGGACCACAGGCGCCCACCACCACGCCCGGCTAATTTTTTGTGTTTTAGTAGAGACGGAGTTTCACCGTGTTAGCCAGGATGGTCTCGATCTCCTGACCTCGTGTTCTGCCCACCTCGGCCTCCCAAAGTGCTGGGATTACAGGTGTGAGCCACCGCGCCCGGCCTCTAAATACAAAAATTTAACTGAGCATGGTAGTGTGCACCTGTAGTCCTAGCTACTCAGGAGGCTGAGGCACAAGAATCCCTTGAACCCGAGCGGCAGAAGTTGCATTGAGCTGAGATTGAGCCACTGCACTCCAGCCTGGGTGACAGAGCAACACCCCATCTCAATAAATTAAAAAAAAAAAAAAAAAGTGAGAAAGCACTCCACAGGGTGGGAGTGGGCTGGAGCAAGTGGCTGAAGGGCCCAGTTACAAAGTTTTCTGGGTGTTAAATACTCCATTTGAGGTCCCTGTCAGCTACTCCTGATCTGGATGAAGGATTTGGCCTGTGGCTAATTAAAGGCTGAGGTGAACTGGCGCCCCTTGCAGATGAAGGGATGGCCCGTGCTTGGCCTGCTGCCAATTCAAGGCACTCTCTCTTTCCATCTGAGACGTGGTGGAAGGGGGAGGGGTGTAGGGAGAGTAGCCTTTGACCCTTTGCTACTCAGGTGGTGGTTGGGGGCGGGGGTGGGGTTCCTTTTGGTTCAGCTGTAGGAAGTTGGTGTTAACTGCATTTAGGGTCCCTGCCCCAGACCCAGGTGTTTTTCCCTTTTGATGCAGCTTTAGGAAATTATCGTGAATTGGTCTCAGATTCCCTGCCCCCAGACCTTGTGTTTTCCCTCGATTCAGCTTTAGGAAGTCAGCACCAACTGGCCTTAAGTTGCCTGCTTCCAGACCCTATTCTCCTGCCTCAGTGGGGGAGGTTTCTCATGACTGATATAGTGTCATCCCCTTGGTACTGCCCTCATGATAGTGAGTGAGTTCCCGCGAGATCTGGCCATTTGCGTGGCACTCCCTCATCTCTCTCTTGCTCCAGCTCTGCCCATGTGACCTGCCTACTGCCTCTTCACCTTCCACCAAGATAGTAAGTTTCCTGAGGCCTCCCTGGAAGCAGAGCAGATGCTAGCACATTGTTTCCTGTACAGCCTATAGAACCAAGACCCAATTAAAGCTCTTTTCTGGCCGGGCACAGTGGCTCACTCCTGTAATCCCAGCACTTTGGGAGGCTGAGGCGGGCAGATCACAAGGTCAGCAGTTCGAGACCAGCCTGGCGAACATGGTGAAACCCCCGTCTGTAAAATACTAAAAATACAAAAATTAGCCAGGCATGGTGGCAGGCGCCTGTAACTCCAGCTACTCCGGAGGCTGAGGCAGGAGAATTGCTTGAACCCAGGTTGCAGTGAGCCAAGATCACACCATTGCACTCCAGCCTGGGCGACAGAGCGAGACTCTGTCTCAAAACATAAAATAAAATAAAAATAAATAAATAAAGCTCTTTTCTTTATAAATTACCCAGTCTCAGGTATTTCTTTTGAGCAATGCAAGAATGGCCTAATACATGAACATTCAAAATCCTCCCTTCTAGCTTTATGAAAATATTAAATATATATATATATAGTTGGCTGGGCACAGTGGCTCACACCTGTAATCCCAGCATTTTGGGAGGCCAAGGCAGGTGGATCACGAGGTCAGGAGATCAAGACCATCCTGGCTACCACAGTGAAACCCCATCTCTACTAAAAATACAAAAATTAGCTCGGCATGGTGGCACGTGCCTGTAGTCCCAGCTACTCAGGAGGCTGAGGCAGGAGAATCGCTTGAACCCAGAAGGCAGAGGTTGAAGTGAGCCGAGATCACGCCACTGCACTCCAGCCTGGGTGATAGAGCAAGATTCCGTCTCAAAAAAATAAATTAAATAAATAAATAAATAGATAGATAGATAGATATAGTTAATCATATTCACCCTATAGGGCTGCAGAAAACCAGAACTCATTGCTCCTATCTAGCGGTAATTTTGTATCCATTAACCAACCTCTCACCGTCTGCCCTGTAGGAAAACAGCCTGTTGCTTGGCAAGAAGGATACCATTTTGAAGTGAAACTGCCATAATGAGTAATGTTTGACTTCTGCTTCTGCAGCAAGGTCTTTAAACAATGTACATAGCATAGATTACCCCTCACAAAGAAGCAATGCCTATAACATAGATAACCCCTCATAAGAATGTTTAACCTCCTCCTCAGTGGTTACAAATTTCGCAAGAAAGTCTGAAGCATGACCAGCAGCATGCTTTATCAAGAAAGCTTGCTTTATAAAGGATATTTTTCAGCCAGGCACAGTGGCTCACGGCTGTAATCCCAGCACTTTGAGAGGCTGAGGTAGGAGGATTGCTTGAGCCCAAGAGTTTGAGACCAGCCTTGGCAACATGGTGAGACCTCATCTCTACATTTAAAAAAAATTAGCTGGGCATGGTGGCACACACCTGTGGTCTCAGCTACTCAGGAGGCTGAGGTGGGAGGATCATTTGAGCTTGAGAGGTCATGGCTGCATTGAGCAGTGATCACACCGTTGCACTCCTGGGCAACAGAGCAAGACTCTCAAAACAAAAAACAAACAAACAAACAAACAAAAATATATATATATATATATATATATTTTTTTTTTTTTTTTCTGGAAGGCAGGTGTGGGGATCCACCCTCTCTTGTCTGCCCAAAACAAAACATCGTATCTGTTTGTAACAACATCCTCCAGGCTCACTCATATGGCCACAAATGACAGGATGTCATTCTTTTTTATGACTGAATGGCATTCTACTATGAATATATACCACATTTGCTTTATCCATTAATCTGTTGTTGGAAACCTATGGTGACTCCATATCTGAGCTATTGTGAATAGTGCTGCAATAAATATGAGGGTGCAGGTGTCTCTTCAATATACTGACTTCCTTTCCCTTAGATAAATGCCCAGCACTGGGATTGCTGGATCATATGATAATTCCATTTTCAGATTTTGAGGAAACCCCCATACTGTTTTTTATAGTGGCTATAATAATTTACATTTCCACCAACCATCTATAAGAGTTCCCTTTTCTCAGAATTCTCACAGCATTTATTTTTTGTCTTTTAGTAATAGCCATTTAACTGGGGTGGGATAACGTCTCATTGTGATTTTGATTTGCATTTTTTTGGTAATTAGTGTTGTTGAGCATTTTTTCACATATCTGTTGGCCATTTGTATGTCTTCTTTTGAGAAATGTCTATCCATGTTCTTTTTTGAGCCCCACTCTGTTGCCCAGGCTGGAGTGTGCAGTGGTGCAATCTTGGGTCACTGCAGTCTCAACCTCCCGGGCTCAAGCCATCCTTCCACCTCAGCCTCCCTAGTAGCTGAGCCTACAGTGTGTACCACCACTCCTGGCTAATTTTTGTATTTTTTGTAGAGACAGGGTTTCACCATGTTGCCCAGGCTGGTCTTGAACTCCTGCTTAAGCAGTTCTTCCACCTGAGCCTCCCAAAGTGCTGAGATTACAGGCATGAGCCACCACACCTGACTTTTTGCCCACTTTTTGATGGGATTTGGTTTTTCACTGTTGAGTTGTTTGAATTCCTTGTATATTCTGCATATTAGTCCCCTGTGGGATGAACAGCTGGCAATTTTCTCCCATTCAACAGGTTGTCTCTTCACTCTGCTGATTGTTTCCTTTGCTGAGCAGAAGCTTTTTAGTCTAATACAGACTCAATTCTCTACTTTTGTTTTTGTAGCCTGTGCTTTTGGAGTCTTTGCCATGAAATTTTTGCCTAGAGCAATGTTCTGAAGCATTTCCCTTGTTTTCTTCTGGTAGCTTTAGAGTTCCAAGTCTTATATTTAAGTGTTTCATCCATTTTGAGTTGGTTTTGCATGTGGTGATAGGCATCTAGTTTCATTTTTCTCGTATGTATATTCAGTTTTCCAGCACCATTGGTTGAAGAGGGTATCCTTTCCCCAATGTTTGTCCTCTCAAAAGTCAGTTGGGTCTAAATATATGGATTTATTTCTAGGTTGCCTATTCAGTACAGAAGCATTTAAGAAGGAAAGAACCAATATCCAAATCCTTCACTCAGAAAGAGCCACAATAGTCATTTTGCTGTGTATGTCTTTCCAACTTTTATCCTATCCATGTGGTTTTAACAAAGTTAAAAATTATGACTTGTATAATAGGCAGCCTTCTAAAATGGCTTTCATTCATCCCATCTTCTAGTACTCACACTTTTTTATAATTCCTTCACCTTGAGTGTGGGCTGAACCTTAGTTAGTGACTTGCTTCTAACAAATAGAATACAGCAAAAGTGTCAATGTCAATTTCAAGATTAGGTCATAAAAGACTGAATTGCATCGTGCCAGCATTTTCTCTCTTTGGCTCTTCTCACATGCCTGCCCTGATAGAGGCGGCTGCCTGGTCAGATGAGGGAAGCCTCATTCCAACAGCCTCAAGGAACTAAATCCAGACAAAATCTATGAGACTGAGCTTGGGAGCAGATACTGCACCAGTCAAGTCTTCAGATGGGAACACAGCCCTGGGCAATACTTTGATTGTAACCTCATGACAAACTCTGAAGAAAAGAACCCAGCCTAGGCTGACCCATGCACTCTGAAATAATAAATGTGTGTTGTTTTAAGCCCTACATTTTGTAATGATTTGTTACACAGCAACTGGTAAAACATGCATATAATTTTATAGATGATTTTCAAAGCCTAACAACATAACATAAGCACTCTGCCAGGTTATTATACCTCTCTGTAAACTTTGTTTGCTTGTTGTCTAATACTTCATCCATGATTTGCTTAACCATTGTGCTATTGCTGAACATATGAATTGTTTTCCAGTTTTCACTGCATGGTTAACACTATTATGCATAAAGCATTGTCTTTAAGATGATTTCTTCAGACCAGGCATCCATAAGAATTATTAGGTCAAAGAGTATGACCCCAAAAAGTTTATCATGAATTATGATAAACTTACCACCCTATCTTTTTAGGGTACAATTCATTCTCTTTTATTTTATTTTATTTTATTTTATTTTTTTTGAGACGGAGTTTCGCTGTTGTCGCCCAGGCTGGAATGCAATGGCTCCATCTCAGCTCACTGCAACCTCCGCCTCCTGGATTCAAGAGATTCTCCTGCCTCAGCCTCCTGAGTAGTTGGGATTACAGACATGCACCACCACACCCGACTAATTTTGTATTTTTAGTAGAGACAGGGTTTCTCCATTTTGGTCAGGCTGGTCTCGAACTCCTGAACTCAGGTGATCTGCCTGTCTCGGCCTCCCAAAGGGCTGGGATTACAGGCGTGAGCCACCACACCTGGTCCATTCTCTTTTATTTTTATGTATTGATTTATTTATTTGAGACAAGAGTCTTGCTCTGCCACCCAGGTGAGGGTGCAGTGGCACCATCACAGCTCACTGCAGCCTGGACCTACCAGGCTTATGCAATCTCCCCACCTCAGCCTCCTGAGTAGCTGGGACTACAAGTGCACACCACCATGCTCAGCTAATTTTTTTTTTTTTTTTTCTGTAGAGACAGGGTCTCCCTATGTTGTCTAGGCTGGTCTTGAACTCCTGGTCTCAAGTGATCCTGCCACCTTGGTCTCCCAAAGTATTGGGATTACAGGCATGAGCCACGGCACCCGACCTCTCATTCTCCTTTAAATCCTAATTATATGAACCAAATTACCTGACAAAGCTCTCACAGAGGCAGGCTGAGAGCCAAGGATTTGGTTGGGATTAGAAAGTAAGATCTTAAAGAAGCCATAAAGCAGAGGTTCAGGCTCAAGTTGCCTTTTATGAGGCTCAGGGTGCATCTTCTAGTTTCTGTTTACTACAAACTCAAACAGGATGCCTCAGCAAACCAGTTCTCATTGTTTCTTATGGTTCCCATCAATTAGCTGTGAGAGCTTGGGCAAGTTATTAATACTTAACCACTCCGTGCCTCGATGTCCTCATATATAAAAGTGGAGGATGAAAATAATACCTACATAATAGCGTGTTGTGAAAATTAACTATTTAAAATATGTAAAGTGCTTCCTATGTGTGTGGCACATAGTGAATGCTATATATGTGTTATTCCCGTTTTCAGAGAAGGGTAATTTGCTGATGAAAAGTTGGGCAGACCTGGCTTTCAATTCCCTCTCCACTGATTCTGAGCTGTGTGACCTTGGACAAAAAAACTTAGATTCTTCTAAACTAATTTTCTCCATCCTCAAATCAGGCCATGAAGCTAATGAAGCTTAAGCTTTGGGACTACTTACTTGCTAAGGCTCTCTACCTAATTTTGTATTATAACTGTATCACTGCAATTTAATCTTTTAAAGAAAGTCCTCTGAATTTTTTTTTTTTAAGAGAGTCTCATTCTGTCACCCAGGCTGGAGTGCAGTGGCGTGATCATAGCTCACACTATGATCGAACTCCTAGGCTCAAGTGATCCTCCCATCTCAGCCTCCCAAATTTAGCTAGGAGTACAGGCATGCACCACCACGCCTGGCTAATTTTTTATTTTTTGTAGAGACGGGGGTCTCACTGTGTTGCCCAGGCTGATCTAGAACTCCTAGGCTCAAGTGATCCTACAGCCTTGGCCTCTCAAAGTGCTGAGATTACAGGCATAAGCCACCATGCCTGGCCGTCTCTATTTTATAAGCTTCATAAAACCTGGATCCATCCCTAAGAAGGGGGTAAAATAACAGTACAGTCAGGCCAGGTGCAGTGGCTCACACCTGTAATCCCAAAATTTGAGAGGCTGAGGCGGGTGGATCACTTGAACTCGGGAGCTTGAGACCAGCCTGGGCAAAATGACAAAGCCCTGTCTCTACAAAAAAATACAAAAAACAAAATTAGCTGGGCATGGTGGTGCACACCTGTAGTCCAAGCTACTTGTGGGGGGCTGAGGCAAGAGGATCACTTGAGCCCAGGAGGTCGAGGCGGCAGTGAGCCATGTTTGTGCAACTGCATTCCAGGCTGGGTGACAAAGTGAGACCCTGTTTCAACAACAATAATAATAATAATAATAATAATAATAGTACATCATGTGTCACAAACAGCATTTCAGTAAACAATGGATTGCATATATGACAGTGGTCCCATAAGATTATAATGGGGCCAGGTGCGGTGGGTCCCTCCTGTAATCCCAGCATTTTGGGAGGTCGAGGCAGGTGGATCACCTGAGGTCGGGAGTTCGAGACCAGCCTGACCAATATGGAAAAACCCCATCTCTACTAAATGCGGGGGTCTGTCCTGCAGACCCTGACCCAACAATGGATGAATAATGTACATTGACATATAGATATTCTGCTTTGCCAATCCGGCTGAGTGTCCGTGCCACTTACAGACACCAAGGAAGGTTCTGTACAGAGTCAGCAGCCATGGCCTCGACTTATCAGCGAGACTTGCATTCAGTAAGGATTAATTGAGAAAGGTCGTGAGTAAACACACCTGTGGGTAAGTAATTAACCTGGTCGCCCCCACCCTGGAGGGAGCTACCACGCACCGGTGAATGATCAAAGGTTGGTCTTAAGACCACATGAATAAACAAGCTAGTTAGATAAACTACTCTACCTTCCTTTGTACCCACTTTAAGCTATTTACTCAAGGTAAGAATTAGGTTGCCTTCAGCCATAACCTTATCCTGAGACTTTTGCAAAAACCTTCAGGCCTTCCAAGAAGGTTTGTGGCTTATAATTTTCCCCACCAACCTGACTGAACCCCCACAACTAAAAATACAAAATTAGCTGGGCATGGTGGTGCATGCCTGTAATCCCAGCTACTCAGGAGGCTGAGACACGAGAATCGCTTGAACCTGGGTTGCGGTGAGCCAAGAGTGCACCATTGCACTCCAGCCTGGGCAACAAGAGCAAAATTCCGTCTCAAAAAAAAAAAATTATAATGGAACTTAAAATTCCTATCACCTAGTGACATTATAGCTGCTGACATTATTCACATGTTGAGGGTGATAGCACAACATATTACTTGTATGTTTGGGGTGATGCTGGTGTAAACAAACCCACTGTGCTGTAGTCATACAAACATGTATAGTAATGTCCTAGGCCTTCATATTCACTCACTGTTTACTGATGAACTCACTCAGAGCAACTTCTAGTCCTGCAAACTCCATTCATGGTAAGTGCCCTATATACATGTACCATATGTATACCATACCATTTTTTTCTTTTCTTTTTTGAGATGGGGTCTTGCTGTGTTGCCCAGGCTGATCTCAAACTCCTAGTCTCAAGTGATCATCCTTCCTCAGCCTCCCAAGAAGCTAGGACTACAGGTACATGCCATCAGGCCTGGCTAATTTTTTTTAAAAATTTTAGGGACGGGGTCTCACTATGTTGCCCAGGCTAATCTTGAACTCCTGGCCTCGAGCATTCCTTCTGCCTTGGCCTCCCAAAGCACTAGGATTACAGTCAGGAGCCATCACGCCGGGCCCATTTTTAATCTTTTTTACAGTATTTTTACTGTACCTTTTCTATGTTTAGACATGTTTAGATACACAAAACTTACCATTGTGTTACAATTGCCTACAGTATTCAGTACAGTAACATGCTATACAGGTTTGTAGCCTAGGAGCAATAGGTTACACCATATAGCCTAGGTGTGTAGTAGGCCATGCCATCTACGTTTGTGTAGGACACTCTATGATGTTCTCACAACAAAGAAATCACCTAATGATGCATTTCAAAGAGCATATCCCTGTTGTTAAGTGATGCATGATCATGCTTATCACACAGAGTAACTATAAAGATTAAAAGAGATAATATATTTAATGATTTAAAATAGTGCCTGAGTTGGGCATGATGGCTCATGCCTGTAATCCCAACACTTTGAGAGGCTGAGGTGGGAGGATTGCTTGAGCCCAGGAGTTCAAGACCAGTCCTGGTAACATAGCAAGACTCTATCTCTATAAAAAATTTAAAAAGGAGCCGGGAGTGGTGGCATGAGCCTGTAGTCCCAGCTACTCAGGAGGCTGAGGTGGGAGGATTGCTTGAGCCTGGGAGATTGAGGCTGCACTGAGCCATGGTCATACCACTGCATTCCAGCCTGGGCGACAGAGGAAGACCTTGTCTCCATCAATCAATCAATGAAATAGTTTCTGGCACATAGAAAGTCCCGAATAATATATAGTAGCTACTTCTTTGGAACGTATGACTGCAGAATTTATTTTTCTCCTTTTTTTCCTTTTAAATACGTAACCACTTCAGAAAACTCAATTTACAAAAACCCAAATTTTGGAAGCGAGAATAAGCCAGTGGGTAATAATTCTAGTTATAAAATGACTCACTAACCATTGTTAGGCTCTTTACATTTTTACTTGATGTCTTAAAAGCAGTGATCCATCCACTGAGCAAACACAATGATTGAGACACTATAAATGCTTTGAAATCCTGAGAGGGCAGACCCTGCGGAGAACAGGAATAAACGGACCTTTGGCATCCTGTGCGGCTCCTGTCGAAGTGCTGGAAGCCAGAAGGGGCTTCTCACTCACTGGACTGAAGAGGGATTCACCATCTTCCCAGCTAGACCCCAAGTCCTGAGCCTCACATTCCTTTAACTTCCTCTTCCCTCCAGCCAACCCAGTCCATTTGGAAATTCCTAGAATTTCAGCCTGATCCTTCCTCAAGAACAAAGTGGGGCCAGGCGCGGTGGCTCACACCTGTAATCCTAGCACTTTTGGAGGCCGAGGTGGGTGGATCACCTGAGGTCGGGAGTTTGAGACCAGTCTGATCAACATGGAGAAAACCCATCTCTACTAAAAATACAAAATTAGCTGGGCGTGGTGGTGCATGCCTGTAATTCCAGTTACTCGGGGGGCTGAGGCAGGAGAATTGCTTGAACCTGGGAGGCGGAGGTTGCAGTGAGCCAAGATCACGCCATTGCACTCCAGCTTGGGCAACAAGAGCGAAACTCCAGCTCAAAAAAAAAAAAAAAAAAGAACAAAGTGGGAGGCAGCATTTCCTGCCGAGGCCTTCTGACCTGGCATCAGATAAGCTGGCTCTAGACAAGGGTGACGGCCCTGAATCAGATGGCTCTGGCACTGCATCTAAGGGGACAGGGCACACTGGGTCAGAACAGACCTTCTGGCACGGGGCAGTGTAGGATGGACAGCCCCACTGTCCCTGAAGGTTGCTAGAGCTGCAGCCGCAGCCCCAGCCCCAGGCCCCTGCTAGAGCTCCCAGGAGGACTCCCTGTAGCCAGATATTCCATGATGCTGTGGGAACTGGCCTGAGTCCAGAGGTCTTCTGAAATTCTGAGTCAATCCTCAGGAGAGGAAGTATCCACTAGGCGTGGGAGCCTGAGTGACCATTTAAAAAGCTGCAGAGAGCCCAGAGCCACCTGTAGTCCCAGCATACGGCCCAGAGGTTCCTGTGGCCCAGCACTCTCTGGGCTGTGGTTGACACAGCTCAGAGAGCAAAATCATAGCTAACCCTAACATAATAGCAGCTCACTCTCACTTCCTTAAGAAGAGTCCTGCTTTAAGCATTGTATTAGTTTCCTGTGGATGCTGTAATAAATTGCCAGACACTGGGTGGCTTAAAACAACAAGAACTTATTTTCTCACAGTTCTGGAAACCGGAACCTGAAAAGGTATTTGGCTGGGCCAAGCTCCCTCCAAAGGCTCAAGAGGAGACTCCTTCCTTGACCCTTCTAGCTCCTGGTGGCCCCAGGTGTTCTTTGGTGTGTGGCTGCCTCACTCCAACCTCCTCCTCCCTGCATGTCTCCTCCTCCCTGCATGTCTCCTCCTCTTCTGCCCCTGTCATTGTCATTGGATTTAGGGCCCACTTGGATAATCCAAGATGATCTCCTTATCTCAAGATCCCTGACTTAATTACATCTGCAAAGACTCTTTTCCCAAATAAGGTGACATTCACAGGTTTTGGGGTTAGAACATGGACCTCTCTGTTACGTGTACTAACTTCTATCCTCACAACAACCCTATTTTAAAAAGTGCTCTTATTTGATAGATGGAGAACTCAGGTATAGGCAGTTAAGGAATTTGGCCGAGGTCACACAGCCAGGAGGTAGCATAGTCACTATATCATATTGCCCCTCCCATAAGTCCTGGGGTCCCAGACACAAGAGCGTTCCCACAAGAGTGACTAAGGGGGTCTGGGACACAGGAAGCCAAACCTTGTTACATAACCTCGCCATTCCATACACACCTGGACATTTGATGAAATGACTGAAATAATATTCAAATAGATGAAGGGCTGGGCACAGTGGCTCATACCAGTAATCCCAGCATTTTGGGAGGCCAAGACAAGAAGATCGCCTGAGCCCAGGAGGTCAGGACCAGCCTGAGGAACATAACGAGATCCCGTATCTATAAAAAATTTAAAAATTAGCCGAGTGTGATGGTGCATGCCTGTAGTCCCAGGTACTCAGAAGGCTGAAGCTGGAGGATTGCTTGAGCCCAGGAAGTTGAGGCTGCAGTGAGCCGTGATCGTGCCACTGTGCTCCAGCCTAGGCGACAGGGCAAGACCCTGTCTCTAAATAAATAAATAAATAAAAATGAAATAAAATGGATGAGAGTGCCATGAGGAAGGATTTCAGGTAAAAGGACAAGTGCCATTTCATTCACACTTCCCATTGGGAATGGCGTCTGGAACTTGGTAAGCACTGAATCCATGCTGGTCATTATCATGCACATTCCTAGCAGCCAGGGAACAAGAAGGGGAGAACTAGCACAATGGGAGACACAGTCTCTCTATCCTTGCAGGTGGCCCTTGCCTGGCAGGCTCTGGTACCAGTCTGACCTGACACCTCTGCACCCTCTCCTATAGGGAAACTGAGGCATGGTGACATAAAATTAGAATCTGAGTTACGCAACTAAAATCAAACCAATGTTCCTAAGTTAATCATAGAATTAGCGGCGTAATCCAGCAATTCCACTCCCAGGTATTCAACTCCTAAGAACTGAAAACAAGTGTTCGAACAAAAACGTATACACAAATGTTCACAGCAACATTCTTCACAATAGCCAAAAGGTAGAAACAACTAGATGTCACCAACCAATAAATGGATAAAAGTGGAATATCCATGCAATGAAATATTATTCAGTCATAAAAAGGAATGAAGTACTACATGCTACAACATGAACCAACCTAAGAAACATTCTGCTAAGTGAAAGAAGACAGATACAAAAGGCCTTATATTGTATAATGCCATTTATTTATTTTTTAATTTGTTTTTGAGATGGAGTCTCACTCTGTCACCCAGGTAGGAGTGCAGTGGCACCATCTCAGCCCACCGCAACCCCCACGCCCTGGGTTCAAGTGATTCTCCTGCCTCAGCCTCTGTAGTAGCTGGGACTACAGGTACCACCACCATGCCTGGCTAATTTCTGCATTTTTAGTAGAGACGGGGTTTCACCATTTTGGCCAGGATGGTTTCGATCTCCTGACCTCCTGATCCACCTGCCTCGGCCTCTCAAAGTGCTGGGATTACAGGCGTGAGCCACCGCACCCAGCCGTATGATGCCATTTATATGAAATACCCAGACTAGGCAAATCTGTAGAGACAGAAAATAGATTGGTGGTTGCAGGGGGTAGGGGAAAAGGGGAGTGGGGAATGACGGCTTCATAGGTAGAAAGATTTCCATTTGGAATGTTGGAATGATGGAATATGCTGGAACTAGATAGTGGGTAAGTTTGCACAAAATTGTGAATGTACTAAGTGCTACTGAGTTATACACTTAAAATGGTTAAATGGCATGACTGGGTATGATGGCTCATGCCTATAATCCAGTGTTTTGGGAGTACAAAGCAGGAGGATGCCTTGAGGCCAGGAGTTGGAGACCAGCCTGGGCGACATAGTGAGACTCAGCCTCTACCAAAAATTTTAAAAAATAAAATTAGCTGGGCATGGCGGTGTTCCTGGACCAAACTGAGGGTCAGTCTGCTATTTCTCGAGGCCCAGTAATGAGATGCAGATGAACTGGGGAGGAAGAGAGTTTTTATTTCTGTAACCCGTTACAGAAAGAAGGCCTGGAAATTATCACCAGACCAACTCAAAACTACAGAGTTTTTCAGAGCTTATATACCTTCTAAGCTCTATGTCCGTGTGGAAGTGTGCATTCATCTAAAGACATAAGTGATTAACTTCTTTTACTCTACAACTAAGGTCTGAGTCCGGAAGACCTTCTTCAGGAGCCTCAGTAAGTTAATCTAAATGGGTCTGGGTGCTGTGCTGGGGTGATTACCCTTATCTTGTCTCCTGCTAAATCATGGAGGTTTGAGGAGTTCCTTCAGACCTCCAATAACCATGTTTGTGGAGGCCTGGGGAGTTTCTTCAGAACCCCAATAAAACTTGTTTAATTCTAAATGGGTCCTGTTAAGAATTCCTTCATTATTTTGTCATGCTTTAAGGCCCAGAAAAGGCCTAGGCAAAACTCTTGGTGGGCTTTTGTTACATTCCAGCCTTTGTGATACGGTTCCGATGACTGGAGGAACACCAGCGTCTTCTGTCTCACACTGATAGGATTAACGACATGGACACACGTGGAGTGACTTTAAGGCACGAAAAGTTTAACAGGCAAGAAAGAAGGAAGGAAGAGGAAAACTCCCCCATACAGAGACAGAGGGAGGGGGGATTCCAACAAAAAGAAAACCCCATGTGTGGCAGAAAAGTGGTTGCTTATGTTGCGATGCTGGAGGAGGTGGTGTCTGGTTTCCATAAGACCCAGGGGATTGGTTGGACCAGGTGAGTCATTTACACAGCCCTCAAAAAACCTGGCCCTCCCACCTTAGTCCTCTAATATGCAAATGCGGGTCGCCATGATATTCCGAACACATGGTGTTATCTGGAGGTGGCCATGACACTTGGTACTCCCGGTTACAAGGAGAAGATGGTGGGAATCGCCATATTGAGTGAGCCCAGTTTCTAATGGCTGGCATTTGCATATTAAAGCTTGCTGGCCCAGCCCTTCGAGCCACCTTTTCTGTTAGAAAAGAGATGGTTCAGGGGTTGTTTCTTATTACAAGAAAATTTCCACCAAGAACCTTTGCACTTACTATCTGCCTAAAAATTATTTCTTAATAACTCCTGTATCATTTGTATAAGGGTACTGGCTTTTCTTCAGCTTTTAATATTTAACCTAACCACTCAGTCAGTACTGAAACAGCTGCGCTGGAAGCCTGCGTTAGTGAGACCTGGCCTGCCACAGTGGTCCCCTCCTGTAGTCCCAGCTACTCAGGAGGCTGAAGTGGGAGGATTGCTTGAGCCCAGGAGTTTGAAGCTACAGTGAGCTATGATCATGCAACTGCACTCCAGCCTGGGCGAGAGAGACCCTGTCTCTAAAAATAAATAAGTAATAAATTAAAATGATTAAAATGATGAATTTTACATTATGCACACTTTACCATGGTAAACTAATCAAGCTGGAGTCACAGCTCTGCTCCTGCCTCTCGGGAGTGTAACTGGTGCCCACCCCTTTCCAAGCCAAGGTGATAGGAGCCCACCTTGTTTCTGTTTTGTTTTGTTTTGTTTTTTTGTAAACATCCAAATGACTTCTTTCTTATTTTTATTTTCACTTTTAAGAAAGTTGTGAAACAAAGAAACAAAACAGGTAGGTTTTACTCACGGTAAAACTCTGGGTGATAACACAAGGCAATAATGAGGGGGTTGGGGACTGAGTAAATAAACCCAGAGAGAAGTAAACAATACCAGAGGGAGCAGCAGCTGATGGCATGTGGGAGGTGAGGACCCGGTAAAGGGGCGTCCAGGGTCTGAATCAGCCTGGAGCCCCGGGGTGGTGTCTTCACGGGGCGGTGCCTCCACCCAGCTGGGCCTGCACTGCAGGCTGGGCTCAGACCGGGGACGCATCTGGCCCATCAGGACTCCAAGGCACAGGAACCCTTTCCTGGATCTGCTCTCTGCCCCTCCCGGACTCAGGCCCCCTCCTCCACATTCAATTCCCTCGCTCACAGTTCATGAATCCAGCCTCTTGCCTCCTAAACCAGACCCTGCATGAGGCACCCCCTCTCCTGTTGGGGCATTGCACAGCCTGCATGAGGCACCCCCCTCTCCTGTCTGAGGCATTGCACAGCCTGCATGAGGCACCCCCTCTACTGTTGGGGCATTGCACAGCCTGCATGAGGCACTCCCGCTCCTGTCTGAGGCATTGCACAGCTTGCATGAGGCACCCCCCTCCCAGGGGCACTCAGCCGGCTTTGTCTGCCTCTCCCAGGCAACCTCAGGCCGCACCCACACTTTCTAGACCAAATGGATCCCCCAAAATTAAAGATTCCAAACCCGCCGATGCTGAGTGACAGAGTAGAAAGAGCATGGACATCCTGGGCTCCCATGGTGCCCTCCCTTCTGTGACCTTTGATTGTGTGACCTTGACAAGTCACAGAAACTCTCCCCTCAGTGCTGAAAACTGGGAGGCGCAGCATCCACGTTGCCCACTTCCTGAAGCGTTGTGGAGATGGAGTGAGCTGCTGTGTGGGAAAGTGTACAAAGATAAATTAGCATAATGAACTCAGGAAATTTCAAGTCCCAGCCTGACTTGCCGTGTTCCCCTTCTGTCTTCTGCAGTGACCTGGAAGTGCTGTAACCACCCATTCCCTTGCCCAGGGGCCTGCCTGCTCCTCCCAGGCCACTACTCAGAGAGGTCTCCTCTGTGCTTGCTTGGAAGGTTCCTGTAGCTATAAGCAGGTCGCTGAGAGCCCTCTCCCCAGACCCAGCACCCCCGCCCCTGTTCTCTTGCTGTTACCTGTCAACAGGCTTCCTGCTGTTACCGACCCCAGCGCAAGAGCCACAGAAGGCAGCTCTCTGAGGGCACCAGGCCAGGCAAGGCTGAGCATCCTCCCAGGGAGTGAGACATCAGCTTCCCAAAGAAAGGTCTTCGATTACTAGTCTCTTAAAAATGCTTCAAATAAAACAAAAGGGGTTCTACAGCTACAAACGTTTGAGGAATTTGGCTAACCCAAGTTCAACCCTCCCCCTCCTTTCCCTTCCCCCACCCATCTCAGAAACCTACAGTAACCTGCTAAGTTGGGACCACACAGTGGTTAAGGCATGGGTTTTGTTTTGAAGGCAATTTTCAAATACACACAAGGAGAATGATTAGTAAAATCAACTCTTTGGACCAAAGGAGTTAAGGACATAACACCCCAAAATACCCTGACCTGGCATATTGATTATTTCAAGCCGAAAGCATCTGAGAAGCAGCAGTTGTAGATAAGATAGGACCTTCTGAGCCACCCTTTTGTCACCTCCCCATGGGTTCTTCTTGCCTGCTGCTTAGATAGAGTAGATTTATCAAGGCAGGGGAATTGCAATAGAGAAAGAATTTTATAGACGTAGGGCCGGCTACACAGAAGATCGGAGTTTTTTTTCTTTTTTCTTTTTGAGTTCAGGATTATATATATTACAATTTGCCTTGTTATAATACATTTGTGGCTTTATGATAAAAATAACTCAGGGACATATGGAATTCAAGCTGATTTGCGTAACTGTCACAAGAAAAAAAGCATTAAATGCATTTCTGAAATAAGTATTTTCATTTAATTTCAGAATCTCAAAACAGCATTAGACCTTGCCTTGTTTAAAAAAAATTAAGTTAAATACTAAGCTAAATAACCTTCTTGAAAGGTTTAAAAACACAATTGATATAGAAAATGTTTTCCCTCTAATCTCAACCTTACATAAATGGAACAGGTGAGGAAGAAAAGGTAGACAATTTCTTTAGCAGCCTATATGGCTAAATCCATCAAACACTAACTGGGGAAATATCAAAAATTAACCATTTCATAAACCAAAAGATAACAATTTTAGGGTTACAGTAAGTAAAATATTTTTGAAACACTTCAAAAACTTTTAACCATAAACTAGAGAATCATCTCTTCATTGTACGAAAGAAAGGACTAACAGAAAGTAAGACATTTAAACTAAACTGATTTTCAATCCTCTTAGAACAAAATGAAAAATAATGGTGGATTAGCTAAGCTTTGTGCTCTAATCAAACTAATTACAGTGATTTAAAATGGCAACAGCCCATCAGACTGGGCAGCTTGACAGTTCAGAATACTTTTGCAATAGTTTTTTAACGCAAAGACACTAAAATGATGGGGTCATGCAATGTCCATCTTATGCATTCTGCATCTCTTTGCCAACCTCGTAGCTAAGGATCTTGTTCCAATCAATCTTAGTGCGTGTAAGTAGCAATTGTCGATGTAAGGCTTTGAAAGTAGTGTCCGACATTGTCTGATAATTCTCACTAATGGCAGTCTGGTATTCATTTTCTGCAGCTTTTACAATCTTTGTAGATTCTTTTGCTGTTTGCACTTCATTAGACACTGTTAGGGAATCTTGTATATCTTTATGACTCACTAGCTGAACATTACTGTCTTCATAATAATGAACCTGAATTTTCAAGATGCCAACCACTTGAGTGGTTGAAGGAGTGATTATAAACCTCCATTCTGACCTCCAATGACCATTCCAAAAGTTTTTTGCTTGGAACTGATGGCTTTCTATGCATGCAATAGTGGTTTGCTGTCCATCTATTTTTTTTTTTTGCTATACGCAGTGCAGACTCCATTCGGGTAATGTTCTTTTACGTAAGCTCACAGAGTAGTTTCTACTTAAGTTCTCCATGATTCAATTGCATTTTCTACTTCACAGGGTCTTGGATCAGTTGCCTCCTTTCTTAAGTGATCAAATTTAAAACAGATTCTGTTCTTTGGATCCTAAAACTTTCCATTTCCCAAGTCGCCATGTTTTGTCATCAATACCTGATCTTCATAACCTTCCATTTTTACAGGAGTAAACTGCTCCAAGTTATACTGTGCAGACGCACGGGCTGCTTTTTCCCTTCTCTTCATCAGACAGCTCCTCCTCCAGACCCGCCATCTTCCTTCTAGCAACAAACTGTGGCGGGGGCGGGGGCAGTGGCCACGTGACTTACCCCTTTCCGTGCGGTGCTCGGCGCCGCGCACCACCCCCGGAGTTTTATTATTACTTAAATCAGCCTCCTCAAAAATTGGAGGCTGAGGTTTTTCGAGGACAGTTTGGGGGAAGGGCGGGTGGCTGGGCAATGGGTGCTTGCTGCTGATTGGCTCGGGGTGCAATCATAGGGGTGTGGAAAATGGTCTTCGTGTAGTGAGTTGCTTCTGGGTGGGGCCACAGGAGCAGCTGGCCGGTCCTCGTGGAGTCATCGGTTGTCAGAAATGCAACAAGACATCTCAAAAGGCCAATCTTAGGTTCTGTCATAATGATGTTATCTGCAGGAATAACTGGGAAATTTGCATAGCTTTTTTTTCTTTTCTTCTCTCTCTTTTTTTTTTTTTGTTCTGCTCTGCTGCCAGGCTGGACTGCAGTGGTACTATCTCGGCTCACTGCAACCTCTGCCTCCCGGGTTCAAGCCATTCTCCCACCTCAGCCTCCCGAGTAGCTGGGATTACAGGTGTGTGCTACCATGCCTGGCTAATTTTTATATTTTTAGTAGAGATGGGGTTTCACCATGTTGGCCAGGCTGGTCTGGAACTCCTGACCTCAAGTGATCCTCTCGTCTCAGCCTCCCAAAGTGTTGGGATTACAGGCATGAGCCACTGCGCCCAACCCATATCTTTGTGTAAAATAATTTTTTTTTAAATAAATAGAGACAAGGTCTCAGTATATTGCCCAGGCTAGTCTCAAACTCCTGGGGTCAAGAGATCCTCCTGCCTTAGCCTCCCAAAGTCCTGGGATTACAGGTGTGAGTCACCGTATCTGGCTGGAATTGGCATATCTCATGACCTCCAGAATAATGGCTGCAGTCATTTATGTCTACACATCCAGTGGTCTCTCATTAGTGTTGTGGAAAAAACTGGGTTCTTTTCTCACAGTCATGACAGGCTCACAGACACTTTGAAGGGTGAGAAGGGTAGGATTTATTGGGTGAAAAGGAACAACAAAAAAAAGGGAACAGGGATTCTTAGCAAAGCAAGAGTCCTGCTAGCAGGCTTCCCGCCTCACAGATTGAATCCCAGGTTACCACCCAGGAACAGGAGAGGCCAGGTTCCTCTCCCCTGCAAAGGGCGCAAACTTCCCATGGCTCCAGCCCATTCTCCCCCCCACACCCCTGTTCTCCCAGTGCCTTCATAAAACTGATCATTCTTTGTCCAAAAGGCTTTCTGCTTTGGTCATTTCTTAGGTCTTCACTCTCTTGTGAAGATCCTCATGTGTATGTAAAATTAATAAAACTTGTAGCTGGGCTTGGTGGCTCACGCCTGTAATCCCAGCACTTTGGAAGGCCAAGACAGGAGGATCGCTTTAGCCTGGGAGATCAAGACCAGCCTGGGCAACATAGGGAGACTCTCTCTACAAAAAATGTAAATACTAGCTGGGTATGGCATGCCTGTAGTCCCAGCTGCTCGGGAGGTTAAGGTGGGAGGATTCCTTGAGCCCAGGAATTTGAGGCTGCCGTGAGCTGTGATCACACCACTGAACTCCAGCCTCGGTGACAGAGCTAGACTCCGTCTCAAAAACAACAAACAAACAACAAAAAACTTGAATGCTTTTCTCTTGTTAATCTTTCTTGTATTTAATTTGGTTCCTAAACCCAGCCAGATATTCCACTTCAGAACTAAGACAGTGTTAACCCAAAATTAGAGACTGAGCCAGGGGTCTCAGTTCATCGAGATTTGTTGAGTGAGAGTTTGAGGTCACACCCAGGAGAAACAGGCCACAGAAACATCTGTGGCCCATGCTCTTAGAAGCAGTTTTCAGAATTTACAAATGTCTTTAAAGGGAAGAAGACACCTAGGAAGAGGGAGTTAGGAGGTGAGTTTGTAATCGAACTTCTCAGTGTGAAAAATCTAACAGACTTTAGTTTTAGGGGTTAGGCTTAGGTTACAAACCTAAAGTTATACTTAATATGTGCTTGTTTTATGGGAGGATCTATATATCTTGAAAGGTTTAGGGGCCAGCAAAGAATTTATGAGCAATTTGTGAGGGCAGTCGTGAGACTTTTCGTCTCCTTGTGGGAGTCTGGCTAATGTATAATGCTTTAACACAAGCCTGTGAAACAGCAGCTCTCCGCTTGGGAAAAGGTTGGTGTTACTGCATGACTCAGTCTCCAGGCTTCACTTTGGTACAAAGAGTTTTGGGGTTCTGAGATTTTTCTTTTCCTTTACAATGGATTGAACAGATCATTAGGCTCCATACAGGACCCATCATCCACCTTCAACAATTATTAATGCCAGGCGACATGTCAGAGCTCTGGCTTCGGAAAGTGGTCGACTTGCGGGTTAGTAAGAAGAATTTACTGACAGTATAAGTTTGAAAAAGGAAAGTTTTAAATTAGCCGGGTGTGGTGGTGCATGCCTGTAATCCCAGCTACTTGGGAGGCTGAGGCAGGAGAAGCACTTGAACCCGGGAGGCAGAGGTTGCGGTGAGCCAAGATCGCACCACTGCACTCCAGCCTGGGCAACAACAGCGAAACTCCATCTTAAAAAGAAAGAAAGAAAGAAAGAAAAAGGAAAGTTTTGTTAGAAGGAACCCTGCAGCAGAGTTCAGTGGAGGCCTCAGCGAGACAGGACAGAGCGCATCACAGCGGACTTTTCCACAGGGGTATTTATGGACCTAAAGCAGGAGCTGAAGGGTAATTTGCACGATAAATGATTACATTTTTAGACATTTGGTGCCTTGATATCAGCAAGGGTTCTGCATGCATGCATTCCAGAGATGTATAGAAATTCTAGTTACTTACTAATTTTAACTTGAAAAGAGGCCTGGAACCAGGTGCCTTTAGATAATAGGGAAGCCTAATTACGTCTAAATTCCTCAGAGACAGGGGTTTTTGTCTCCGGAGGTCTGCTTGATGGTCACCAGGAGATTTTTGCTCTCCTCAATTAACATTTAAGAATATGGAGGAGCCAGGCACAGTGGCTCACACCTGTAATCCCAGCACTTTGGAAGGGAGAGGCAGGCAGACGGCTTAAGCTCAAGAGTTTGAGATCAGCATGGGCAACATGATGAAACCCCATCTCTACAAAAAACACAAAAATCAGCTAGGTATGATGGCATGCACCTGTAGTCCCAGCTACTGAGGAGGCTGAGGTGGGAAAATTGTTCAAGCCTGGTAAGTTAAGGCTGCAGTAAGCTGTGATAGCGCCACTGCACTCCAGCCTGGGCGACAAAGTGAGATCCTGCCTCAAAAAAAATAGAATATAGAGAGCCTGGCATAGTGGCTCATGCCTGTAATCCCAGCACTTTGGGAGGCCAAGGTGGGAGGATCTCTTGAGCAGTTCAAGATCAGCCCGGGCAACTTAGTGAGACCCTGTGTCTAAAAAAAAAAAAAAAAGTGAAATTAGCCAGGTGTAGTGGTGCTAGCTAGTGATCCTAGCTACTCCGGGGGCTGAGGTGGATGGCCTGAGCCCAGGAGGTCGAAGCTGCAGTGAGTCTATATCGCACCACTGCACTCCAGCCTGGGCAACACACCAAGACCCTGCCTCTCACAAAACAGAAAGAATATGGGAGAGGAGGGATTTGGGAGTCAACCTCATGTCCAAATCCAATCCCACCACCAATTCACCGGTGAGAGGTGAAGTCAGCTGGACTTCCTGAGTCAAGTGGGGACTTGGAGAACTTTTCTGTAACTAGCTACAGGTTTGTAAAATGGACCAATCAGCAGGACATGGGCAGGGACAAATAAGTGAATAAAAACTGCCCCCACCCCCACACCCCCCTACACCACCAGCCTGCAGCAGGCAACCCACTTGGGTCTCCTTCCATGCTGTGGAAGCTTTGTTCTTTTGCTCTTTAGGTTCGTGCCAACTTTAAGCTGTAACACTCAGGGCGAAGGTCCGCAGCTTCATTCTTGAAGTCAGCGTAGACCACGAACCCACCGGAAGGAACCATATTCCGGACACACCAGGACCCTGGGTAAGTTGTTCAGTCTCTGCATAAGTGAGAATAATACCTCTCACCTGAAGGGACTGTGCTGAGGACAACATAAAATTAGGTAGCTCTAAGACACTAGCTCCATGTCCTAGGCAAAGTAAATGCTCAGTGAATAGTGATCATTGCTACAGACTATGTAGCAATGTGTGCTATGGGCCAAGAGTGTGAGTTGCCTGGGCTTGAATCTCAGCTCCTGCTGCTTTCTTTCTGTGTGATCTGGGATAAGTTACTGACTCTGTCTGTGCTCCAGTGTTTTCATCATAGTACCTACCACATAGTGTTTGTTCTAAATACACGAACTCTTTTAATTTTAACATTCAGAACAGTCCATGACAGATTAGTGAGGGCTCAATAAAGGTGGGCTTTGCCCCTGATAACACAACCTGTTGAATTCTATTTGATTTGGCATATATATATATTTTGAGACGGAGTCTCGCTCTGTCGCCCAGGGTGGAGTGCAATGGCACGATCTCAGCTCACTGCAACCTCCGCCTCCCGGGTTCAAGCGATTCTCCTGCTTCAGCCTTCCGAGTAGCTGGGATTACAGGTGTGCACCACCAGGCCCAGCTAATTTTTGTATTTTTAGTAGAGACAGGGTTTCACCATGTTGGCTAGGTTGGTCTTGAACTCGACCTCGTGATCTGCCTGCCTCGGCCTCCCATAGTGCTGGGATTAACAGTCGTGAGCCACAGTGCCCAGCCTAATTTGGCATTTTACAAATTCCATTCACATCTATAAGTATCCTCCTTCTGAAGTGGAATCCCAGAGTCTGAAGTTTAACTCAGACCAAGTTTACAGCACCGAGCTGGGTGCAGTGGCTCACACCAGTAATCCCAGCATTTTAGGAGGCTGAGGTGGGAGGATCACTTGAGTTCAGGAGTTAAAGACCAGCCTGGCCAACATGGCAAAATCTCATCTCTACTAAAAATATAAACATTACCCGGGCAAGGTGGTGCACACCTGTAGTCCCAGCTACTGGGGAGGTTGAGGCAGGAGGATCCCTTGAGGCTGCAGTGAGCCGTGATCATGCCTCTGCAGTCATCTGCTTGATAGAGCGAGACCCTGTCTCAAAAAAATAAAGTCTCAGGAGTCTCGTTTCCAGAAGAAATGTCAGATCTGTGGGCCCAACAGTTACGTGTTCTGTTTGGCTCGCTTGTGGATCTTACATTGTTCACAGGACATCTAAAGAAGCTTTTAGGCTGACATTACCTTGAAAAGCTGGAGATACAAACCAGGAGAGGCTTCAAGGTGTCCCTCCCCACTGACTAGTGAACAAAAGGAATCCCAGATCTTGAAGACCTTTACACTGCTGTGGAGGCTTCCCTGCCTGAGCCCTATCAGCTGGAAACCCTGGAGTGGAATGTACAGGAGCTCGAGGATTCATGGATGAATCTATCCCATTACCCAATACTCACTGGGTGCTGAGCACTGGGGATGGCAGAATGCAGTGTATGCAGCTTTCCCTAAGTGACTTTGGACTGCACACTTAACATACATAGGTTTTCTTTTTATGAAGTGTATAAACCAAAAATAAAATTCTAAGCGCCCCCCACCCCCCACCCCGCCAACCCTCTGAATGGACTTTCTCCTTGGCCAGGGCGCTCTTAAATTTTTCTTTTTTTTTTTTTTTTGCTGAGATGGAGTCTTGCTCTGTCGCCCAGGCTGGAGTGCAGCGGCATGATCTCGGCTGACTGCAACCTCCGCCTCCCAGGTTCAAGTGATTCTCCTGCCTCAACCTCCCAAGTAGCTGGGACTACAGGCACGTGCCACCATGCCCGGCTAATTTTTTTTTTTTTTTTTTTTAGTAGAGATGTGGTTTCACTGTGTTAGCAGGATGGTCTCGATCTCTTGAACTCGTGATCTGTCCATCTCAGCCTCCCAAAGTGCTGGGATTACAGGCGTGAGCCACTGCACCCGGCCTTTTTCTTTTTTTTCCTTTAAGTTCTGGGATATATTTACAGAATGTGCAGGGTTGTTACATAGGTATACATGTGCCATGTTGCTTTGCTGCACCTATCAGTCCATCATCTAGGTTTTAAGCCCCGCATACATTAGCTATTTGTCCTAATGCCCTCCCTCTCCCTTCCCTTGCCCCCGACCCCCTGACGGGCCCTGGTGTGTGATATTCCCCTCCCTGTGTCCATGTGTTCTCATTGTTCAACTCCTGCTTAGGAGCGAGAACATGCAGTGTTTGGTTTTCTGTTCCTGTGTTAGTTTGCTGAGAATGATGGTTTCCAGCTTCATCAATGTCTCTGCAAAGGACATGAACTCATTCATTTTTTATGGCTGCATAGTATTCGATGGTGTATATGTGCCACATTTTGTTTATCCAGTCTATCATTGATGGGCATTCAGATTGGTTCCAAGTCTTTGCTATTGTAAATAGTGCTGCAATAAACATACGTGTTGGTGGGAGTGTAAATCAGTTCAACCATTGTGGAAGATAGTGTGGCAATTCCTCAAGGATCTAGAACCAGAAATACCATTTGACCCAGCCATCCCTATACTGGGTATATACCCAAAGGATTCTAAATCGCTCTTAAAATTTAACATGAGAGATGGGTCAGGCCATGATGGGAAGTAGGGATCGGACATGCCTCATTATACCTCTCCAATATTAACAGCAACACAGACCTTTAAGTCTAATAAGAAGCATTTACAACCTATTCTTTCTGAAGCCTGCTACCTGGAGGCTTCTTCTGCAAGTAAGAATTTGGTCTCTACCATCCTTTATCTTAACCCAGACATTTCCTTTCTATTGATCCTGATGGATTTTTAGATAAAAACCGATTGTCAACCAGAAAATTTTAAAATCTATCGATAGCCCGGAAGCCCCCACTTCCACCTTTCTGAACCAAACTAATGTATTTCTTAAATGTATTTGATTGAAGTCTCATGTCTCCCTGAAATGTATAAAACCAAGCTGCATCCCGACCGCCTTGGACATATGTTCTCAGGGCTTCCTGAGGGCTGTGTCCTGGGCCATGGTCACTCATATTTGGCTCAGAATAAATCTCTTCAAATATTTTACAGAGTTTGACTCTTTTCATCTACAGGTGTGTTGGGGCCCACAATACCATACTCCAAGATGAAAGTCTCAGAAGCAGCTCCAGAAATAAGTTTTTCTATGACCTTCTGCCCTTTTGTCTCTGGCCCCTTGTTCCCCCACAGGCTAGCCATAGAAACTAGAACCTTTCCCCAAGGCGAGCCATAGGAATCAGAGCCCCTTTTCCCCACAGCCAGCCATAAAACCCCAAAATATTGCTCTAATCCCACCCCCTTTCTGTGTAAAAACTGGTCATAAAGAAATTAACCTACCTTGTTTGACTGTGGGTCATAAGATCCCCATTCCGGAGAGAGTCCTGCCCCACACCCAGAAAAAAAGGGACTGCTGCAGAGACAGGCCAAGAAGAATCTACACAAACAGGCCTTGCTGGGTTCCCCCACTCGGGCTGTTAGCACTACATCACACCCTTTTTGTCCAATCATATTTCTATACAGCTGTCCATACTTTGTTGAACCTAAGCAAAGAAAGGGACAATCTCCTGTGAAAGGAAGATAAATCTTCCCCAAATCACTAAGCCAAAGGGAAAAGTCAAGTTTGGAACAGCGTTGGGCAAACCTGCCTCTCATTCTATTCCTAAATAAGATAGCTACAAAGATAAAAAAAATAAAAATTAAAAAAAAAAGGCTACATACCTCCTTCACAATTTGCCCACAAGGAAATTCCTTGTGGACAAAGGACAGAACTCAAAGTCATCCCTCTGCTCACATGGGACAAATGCATATGTGATGACTTCCTTTGCCCTGTTGTTTCACACTAATCCAGACTAAGGCATATTCCTGTAAATTGTGCATTCAGTGAAAGGCTAATCAGATACTCAAAAGAATGCACCCGTTTATGTCTTTTCTACCTATGATCTGGAAGCACCCCCCACACACAAAACTCTGAGTTGTTCCGCCTTTCCAGACTGAACCAATGTATTAAATACATCTTACATATATTGATTGACGTCTCAAGTCTCCCTAAAATGCTTAGAACCAAGCTGTGCCCAACCACCTTGGGCACATGTCATCAGGACCTCCTGAAGCTATGTTACGAGTGCTTCCCTAACCTTGGCAAAATAAACGTTCTAAATTGACTGAGACCTCAGGAGTTCGAGACCAGTCTGACCAACATGGTGAAACCCCATCTCTACTAAAAATTCAAAAATTATTCGGGCATCGTGGCAGGCGCCTGTAATTCTAGCTACTCTGGAGGCTGAGGCAGGAGAATCTCTTGAACTCAGGAGATGGAGGCTGCAGTGAGCCGAGATCATGCCATTGCACTCCAGCCTGGGCGACAGAGTGAGAATGTCTCAATAAATAAATAAATCGACTGAGATCTGCCTCAGATATTTGGGGTTCCATACTCTGCTGTATCTTGGGTCTTCATTTTGCAGTTTCCTGTGTCACATAAAACTATGACCAAATAAATTTGTGTGACTTTTCTCCTATTTGCCTTTTGTCAGCTGTTTTTTCAGCAAACCTTGGTTTCCAGAGTCTCTTTCAAATCTTGCCTTTTGTGATTATGTCATGAGTGGTGTAAGGTTAGCGATAACCAGGTCCACGCATGTTTGTGTCTTTCCACTGTAAACCAAAAAGTATCCAAGACAGGTCTTCAACTTAGAAGTGTATTTTGCCAAGGTTAAGGACATACCTGGGAGACAGGTCTGTGTGTAACTGCCCGAGGGGTTCCTCCTGCCTGCTGCATAAAGACCACAGCATTGTAGTAGAGAAAGAGTTTAATAGACATGAGGCCAGCCTCACCACATGGGAGAGGGAGTTCATATGCAAATCATCTTGTCCTAAGCTCACAGGTTAGGGGTTTTTCAAAGACAGCTTAGGGGAAGTGGTGGGAGTGGCCAAGTAACAGATACTTGCTGCTGATTGGTTGGGGGGATTAAATCATAAGGGGTTGAAGTTCTCCTGTGGGCTGAATCTCTTCTGGGTGGGGCCACAGGAACAGGGTTGGCAGTCCAGGTGGAGCCATCCGGTCCAGGTGGAGCCATGGGCATCGGACATACAGAAAAACTGGAAATATATCTCAAAAGGCCAATCTACAATAGTGGTGTTATTTGCAGGAGCAATTGGGGAAGTTGCATCTTATAACCTCCGGAATAATGGCTGATCCCTTTATGTCTGTGCCTTAGCAGGACTCAGGTCCCTCCAGTGAACCTGATGGCCTTCCATTAACTTTACAAAAGCAGTTGAGTTTGGGGCAAGGCCTATTATCATTTAAACTATAGCCTAAATGTCTTCCAAAGTTATCGTGGCCCAATAGCCCAGGAAAAATTCAGAGAAAGGCGAGATGGGGGTTGAACAGTTAGCTTCGCTTACTGTTATAATTTTCCTCACTGATACAATTTTTGCAAAGGTGGTTTCATGTGCCCTTCTCCAAAGATGATTTTGAGGGTTTCCCTATTTAAAGGGGAAAAGCAGGCTGGAGGGGAAAGGGGAGTGTGTGGTCACATTACTGAGTCTACGTGTTGCAAGAGAAAAGGAGCAGGTAGGAGAATAGTCAATTATATACTCATCTTGCACTCAGCAAATCAGCACTTTACATAGGATAAGGTGAGCAGCTGGGCACAGTGGCTCACGCCTGCAATCCCAGTACTTTGGGAGGCCGAGGTGGGCAGATCACCTGAGGTCAGGAGTTCGAGACCAGCCTGACCAACATGGAGAAACTTGTCTCTACTAAAAATACAAAATTAGCTGGGCGTGGTGGTGCATGCCTGTAATCCCAGCTACGTGGGAGACTGAGGCAGGAGAATCACTTGAATCCGGGAGGCGGAGGTTGCAGTGAGCCGAGATTGTACCATTGCACTCCAGCCTGGGCAATAAGAGCAAAACTCCATCTCAAAAAAAAAAATAAAAAATAAAGTGAGCATAGAGTAGCTCCTTGTGCAGATATTTAACCTTTTTGTTTGTTTGTTTGTTTTCTGTAGCTTTCTGCATAACTCAGCTTTCAGCTTAATTTTTTCCTTCTGGCACAGTGAATTGGGGTCCCAAGTTTTTATTTTCTGATCACACCATAATGTCAGGCCTTTATTGATGCTGTTTCCATCACAAAAGCCACGAGCTACAGGGAGTTCCCAAGGAGGCAGTACTTGCCGTTCACTTGGAAGTCAGAGCCGCAGGCACACAGGCTCAAGCCATTCCACAAGTCCATCAATATTGCAAACGATACATAATAGTATACTTAATATAGAAATGTTATAGGTTAAACAGGCCACAACAAACAAAGTCATATTTAACATCAAGAGGAAAAAGAGAAAGGAGAAAAGGTTAACAAACCAGTCTAGGGGGAGCGAAGTAGAGTGAAGAGTCCTGGTCTGGGCCAGGCCATCAGTCAGTCTTGCAAGAAACAGTTTTTGGCAGGGCGCAGTGGCTCATGCCTATAATCCCAGCACTTTGGGAGGCCGAGGCGGGTAGATCACGAGGTCACGAGTTCAAGACCAGCCTGGCCAACATAGTGAAACCCCGTCTCTACTAAAAATACAAAAAATTAGCCGGGTATGGTGGCAGGCACCTGTAATCCCAGCTACTTGGGAGGCTGAGGCAGGAAAATCGCTTGAACCCGGGAGGCGGAGGTTGCAGTGAGCCGAAATCGCACCATTGCACTCCAGCCAGGGCAACAGTGCAAGACTCCATCTCAAAAAACAAAAAAAGTTTTTGACGGCAGGGCCTTGGGTGCAGATGTGGAGTTCTTGTCACTCATGATAAGTGTCAGTCAAGACACTGGTGTTGACACAGGAGATAGAAATTATTTAGGCAGATAGGGCAAAAGAGTCCTTGGCAGAACTCCTCTCCTAACAAAAAGCAGCCCAAGAAATTATTATTTTTTTTCCCTAACAAAGAGCAGCCTGAAAAATCAAGCTGCAAACATAAATAAGAAAGCTGGAAGCTTGCATGGGGGATTGCCAGCAGCTGCACCAATAGAAAAGGGCTACCTGGGGGCCAAGCATGTCCACCGTGGAAGCTCCACCTTCCCGTTTTTTGTCAGCATGTATACAGTAAGAAAGAAATGGGCAACATGGCGCAGCTCAGGCAGGGAACCCACCTGCATAATAAAAGACTGGGTGGGGGCTGCCAGAGATTCACACCCTATGCAGGTGGGTGGCAGATGTAGGACACTTGGTCCCAACCAGTTTTTCATGCCCTATGTAGATCAGACACCACCTTCCCACTAGCTCATCTATAACCCCCCCTGCATTTCACCATGGATCAGCAACCCATTTTTTCAGGACACCTCTCTGTAGTAGAAAGCTATTCTCTTTCTTTTGCTGATTAAATTTCCACTCTTAACCCCTCACTCTTTGTGTGTCCGCATCCTTGATCTCTGTGGCCATGAGACAAGGAACCTCAGGTTCAAGCAATTGTCCTGCCTCAGCTTCCTGAGTAGCTGGGATTACAGGTATGCACCACCATGCCTGGCCAATTTTTGTATTTTTAGTAGAGGCGAGGTTTCACCATGTTGGCCAGGCTGGTCTCCAACTCCTGACCTCGTGATTCATCCGCCTCAGCCTCCCAAAGTGCTGAGATTACAGGTGTGAGCCACCGTGCCCAGCCAGGCCTGCTCTTTTAGAGTCACAGAGTTCTCTGGTGACAACTGACAGTTGGAAGAGTTGTGCTTGTTTGTGTCTTTATCTGGTTGGATGCAGCCTTTATCTTTTTTTTTTTCTGCTTATTAAGCAAAATATCTTATCCTTGTTGGCAAAGTGCCCTGTGAAATATAAAATGGAGTCTTTTTCTAAGATGGAGTTAGTTGGGTCAAGGGTGCTGTACACAGATTATATCTTTATTATTATTATTATTATTATTATTATTATTATTATTATTATTATTTTTAGAGACAGGGTCTCCCTAAGTTGTGCAGACTGGTCTTTAACTCCTGTGCTCAAATGATCCTCCTGCCTCAGGCTCCTGAGTAGCTGGGACTACAGGCATGAGCCACTGCCCCTGGCTATCTAGTTCTATTTTTGATCTGAACTTCTACTATTTTAACCATGTGATTCTTTTGCCAAAACAACAAGGGAGAGAGAGATATCAGAGCCTGGGGCTTCTGCAGAGTGGCCCTCCTCTCTGCCAGCACATCTGCCCACACCACCTCCTGCACACAGATGTTTACAGTCGCCAGAAACCACAGCACTTCCGCCTGCTTCAGACAGTGTGGCCAGCTCATCCCACTGACCTCTTGCTTTGTTTATTAGAGAAAAAAAGCAAACGCCTGACTACCACCAAAAAACCCTACCACCAAGGTCCCAGACAGGCTGAACCCATAACCTCAGGGAGGGAGGGCAGCCTGAGGTGAGGGGAATCCCAGTGGCCTGAGGAGGGCTTGGCCACCCCCTGACCCCGGCAGGAGCACCGTGAATGAACTGAAAAGGGGGGCCCTGTACCCCAGCGCTGACCTTTTCATCCCAGTGCCTGGTCTTCTACCACGGACTCCACGGTGTAAAATGACTTTCTTTCTTGTCAGCTGCATTTATGAAATAATGCTGCTAAAAAGGCCAGTTATAGTTGTGAAAAGAAAGTTGACCAGGTGTGGGCGATTGGATTAGATTCTGGTTTCTGTCATCCGCTGCCCCGCTTCCTAGAAGCAGACTGTTTATCCCCACCAGCCATGAGATGTGTGGTGCCTCCCGGGGAAAGAGTGTGCCTTTCCTGCCCTGTCAGGCCTGGCCACATGAGTGATTATGGCCCATGAAACATGGTGGAGGTGACACAGGCCAGCTCCGAGCAGAGGCTCTAAGCATGTACACCAAAAAGTATCCAAGACAGGTCTCAATCAATGGAGAAGCTTATTTTGCCAAAGTTAAGGACACACCTGAGAGACAGGTCAGTGCCTTTCTCCAAAGATGATTTTGAAGGTATCAATATTTAAAGGGGAAAGTGGGCTGGAGGGAAAAGACAGCACAGTAATTCACATGTTACAAGAGAAAAGGAGCAAGGAAGGGGACAGTCAATTATGTAATTATGTATTCATCTGGCACTCAGTAATCAGGACTTCACATAAGGTGAACACAGTAGCTACCTGTGGAGATTCCTTTCTTTCTTTCTTTCTTTTTTTTTTTTTTTTTTTTTGAGACGGAATCTTGCTCTGTCACCAGGCTGGAGTACAGTAGAACGATCTCAGCTCACTGCAACCTCCACCTCCCAGGTTCAAACAATTCTCATACCTCAGCCTCCTGAGTAGCTGGGACTACAGGCGTGTGCCACCACCACACCTGGCTAATTTTTTGTATTTTTCGTAGAGACGGGGTTTCACCATGTTAGCCAGGATGGTCTCCATCTCCTGACCTCGTGATTCACCTGCCTCAGCCTCCCAAATTGAGGGACAGGCGAGAGCCACCGCGCCTGGCCACCTGTGGAGATTTCTAACCTTTTACCTGTAGCTACCTGCTTAGGAACAAAAGGAAAGGCAGTGGATTGCATGATGCAGCTTTCAGCTTAATTTTTTTCCCTTTCAGCACAGTGAACTGGGGTCCGGAGTTTCTATTTTCCTTTCACAAGCGCCATTGCGTTGCTTCCTGCAGCTGTCCTGCTCTCTGCCTCGGGGATACCTAGTTCCAGACTGGGGCTCCTCCTTCACCTTGAGTCCTGGAATGAGAGGTCACAGGGGCAGAGCTGCAGCCACCAACATATAACGTGAGAGCAAGCAACAAGCCATTGTTGTTAGAAGCCATGAGATTTGGGAGTTGTTACCTCCTCAAGGTTGTAGCACTGACTCCTGCTGATGTCCAGCGTGCAGACTTACCCTAAACATTTCAGCCCTGACATCCCATGCCTTACAATAAATCTCTCTCCCTCCACCCCCCAACCTCCAGAACCAATCCAGGTGTTACTGTATTCCCAGGCCGAGAACTATCCTTATGATCTGCAAGGCCCTGGGTCTCTGCGGCTTCTGCTGCAGGGTGCAATGGGGATGTGAGGCAGGACTCTGAGAAGCTGGGTGCCCCCAGCTGGTGCTTAGGAGCCTTACACCGCTGAGCTGGAACTCATCCCCGCGCTCCTGGCCCTCCTCTCCCTGAGCCCCATCCTCTCCTGTTTTACACAACCCCCAGCAGGCCTGTGATCCTTTGCTGATTTCTTTTCCTCTTTAAGGTTGTCCTTAAGTATGATTTATCCCAACTTCATCAATGTAAAAACAAGTGTATTGATCAAAGACTTATCAGCAGCCTTTCCCCTTTCAGGAAGTATCTATCCCTTGAGTCTTTTCTTTCCTTCTTTCCTTCTTCCCCCTTCCCTTCTTCCCTCCCTCCCTTCCTCCTTCCGTTCCCTCCCCTCCCCTTCCCTTCTACCTTTTCCCTTTGCCCACTCCTTCTCATCTTGTCTCTAGTTTCCACAAATGTGCAGACAGTGAATACAGTGGGAGAGAAAGGGCCCACTCTGGGAAGTGATTGCAAGGCACAAGGACAGGAATCAAGCCAACTGCATGGTGTGGAAGGGCAGGAACAGGTGCAGGCGCAGCAGCCCGGTCAGAGGCACGGAGGGCAGAAGCAGGGCCTGGTAGTGTTGGGGAGGCTGGTTGGGAGGTGAAGCCCTTTACTGACACAGGATATGGGGAAGAGTTGGTGAGCGGGTGGGAAGAAAGTTATTTGGGTTTGAGATGTTAAATTGAAGGTATCTGTGGGATGCCCATGTGGACAGGCTGAGAAGGCAGAAGGAAGTTAGGATCCACAGCTCAGGAGAGCAGTGGAGAAAGACACTGTGGTTTGGGTGGGCCTCAAAATCCCGGAGAGAGGTGAAGTTGCAGGAGTGGAAGAGAAGTGATGAGTGACAGGAGAAGTGCTGGCTCCACGCTGAGGAAATTCCAGCATTCAAAGGACTGGCAGGTAAAGAGGTGCCAAAAAAGAGGAAAAAGGGGGACAGGAGGGGCAGTCCATCTCCAAGTTCCAGAGAAAGAGAAGAAAGAGACAGAAAGGCTGGGCATGGTGGCTCACCCCTGTAATCCCAGCACTTTAGGAGGCCGAGGCAGGCAGTTCACCTGAGGTCAGGAATTCGAGACCAACCTGGCCAACATGGTGAAACCTCGTCTCTACTAAAAATACAAAAAATTGGCCAGGCTTGGTGGCTTGCACCTATAATCCCAGCTACTCAGGAGGCTGAGGCAGGAGAATCACTTGAACCTGGGAGGCGGAGGTTGCAGTGAGTGGAGATCGCGCCACAGCACTTCAACTTGGGGGACAAGAGCAAAACTCTGTCTCAATTAAAAAAAAAAAAAAAAGGAGAGAGAGAGAAAAGAGAGAGGATAGAAATAATAGGAAAAATGCCGGGTGCGGTGGTTCACGCTTGTAATCCCAGCACTTTGGGAGGCTGAGGCTGGCGGATCACAAGGTCAGGAGTTCAAGACCAGCCTGGCCAACATGGTGAAACCCCGTCTCTACTAAAAATATGAAAAAAAAAATTAGCTGGGCATGGTGGCATACACCTGTAATCCCAGCCACTCTGGAGGCTGAGGCAGGAGAATTGCTTGAACCCAGGAGGCGGAGGTTGCAGTGAGCCAAGATCATGCCACTGCACTCCAGCCTGGGTGACAGAGTAAGACTGTGTCTCGGGGTTGGGTGGGGGGAAGAAAGAAATAATAGGAAAAAAATCCCTAAGTTGAAGAAAGACATGAATCTTCAGATTGAAAGAGTTCAAGTGTCAAGCAAGACAAAGAAAAGCCAAAAACAAAACTAGACACAGCCTGGTAATACTGCAGCACTCTAAGGATAATGAAAAGCTTTCTACATGTTTCTGGAGTGAGGAAAACAGGTCACCTGCAACTAGCATCAAATTTGTCATCGGCAATATTGGGTTCTAGAAGACGTCTAAGATATATATTGAAAGAGCGCCTTCCAAGTTCTCAGGGAGTTTTGATGCTATAGATGTACACCCGCGTGCATTTTCTGGGGAAAAAAAAGGTTCAAAGACATACTCCAGCAAAATAAAAAACGAATTCACAAACAGGAAATAGTGAAATTAACTGAGGAGCACAATGTGGAAAAAAAAAAATCCCAGAATGACAGTTGTCCACAGACCAGCAAAGTTAGTGGTTCAGTTAGAATAGCAAATTTTTAATTACATTAAAAAATGATTTCAAGAAGAAAGTGGATTCCAATCAACAAATAATGTTTATGAAAGAGGATGATCTTTGTCTCTCCATCAGTAAAAAAGCCAGAGAAGCAATAAACAAAACTCCAGGAAAAACAAAAGGTTATGTAAGTTGTGGCCCATATGTGAAGCAAGCCTTTTCTCTTTCCCTTCTTTTCTCCTCTTTTCTTTTTTATTTATATATATATATATATATTTTTTTTTTTTTTTTTTTTGAGACAGAGTCTTGCTCTGTCACCCAGGCTGGAGTGCAATGGCACGATCTCAGCTCGCTGCAAACTCCGCCTCCCGGGTTCACGCCATTCTCCTGCCTCAGCCTCCCGAGTAGCTGGGACTATAGGCACCCGCCACCACACCTGGCTAATTTTTTGTGTTTTTAGTAGAAGCGGGGTTTCACTGTGTTAGCCAGGATGGTCTCGATCTCCTGACCTCGTGATCCATCTTCTTTTCTTTTCGAGACAGGTTTTCTCTGTGTTCCCTAGGCTGGAGTGCAGTGGTGCAATCTCGGCTCACTCCAGCCTTCACCTCGAGGGCTCAAGCCATCCTCCCTCCTTAGCCTCCCAAGTAGCTGATGGCATGTGCCACCATGCCCCGCTAATATTTGTATTTTTTGTAGAGACAAGGTTTTGCCATGTTGCCCAAGCTGGTCTCAAACTCCTGGGCTCAAGCGATCTGCCCGCCTCAGCCTCCCAAAGTGTTAGGATTACAAGTGTCAGCCACTGTACCCAGTCTATTTTTCTTAATTGAGGTATAATGTACACATGGAAAAATACTCAGATTTTAAGAGTAGCATCCAACCATTTTTATCAAATAATGTAAGTAAAATATAGCATTAACATTCATTTCATCTGTTTCTTTTTTGTTTTGTAATGGGGCTACTAGAAAATTTTAAAATACATCTGTGGTTCATGTTGTATTTATTTTGAGATAGAAATACCCTCATTTAACATATACCCCTATCAAGACAAAGAATATTTCATCACCCCAGAATTTTCCTCATGTCCTTTCCCAGTCAATCCTCCTCACCCCAAAGCAATTGCTGATCTGAAAGAGGCTAATATTGAGAAACAGATGAAGTATGATAACTGGGTGGCCATTCCACCTGGATTCTTAGAATGTCTCCTTCAAGCAGCACAAGTGCAGTGCAAATAATTACATTTAATTCCTTATGGATCTTTTTTTTGAGACAGAGTCTTGCTCTGTCACCCAGGCTGGAGTGCAGTGGCACGATCTGACTCACTGCAAACTCTGCTTCCTGGGTTCAAGCGATTCTCCCGCCTCATCCTGCCAAGTATCTGGGATTACAGGTGCACGCCACCACGCCCAGCTAATTTTTGTATTTTTAGTAGAGGCGGGGTTTCACTATGTTGGCCAGGCTGGTCTCGAACTCCTGACCTCAAGTGATCTGCCCTCCTCAGCCTCCCAAAGTGCTGGGATTACAGGCATGAGCAACCGCACCCGGCCACTCATCACAATTTTTTGTCCTAACATTATAAACAATATTTATGGGTGTATTGGTTTCCTAGGACTGTTGTAACAAATTACCACAAACATAGTGGCTTAAACTAACAACATACAATTTATTCTCTCACAGTTCTGGAGGCCAGAAGTCTGAAATCAATGTCTTGACAGGCTGCTCTTCCTCTGAAGTCCTGGGGAAGAATCCTTTCTTGCCTCTTTCAGCTTTTGGTGGCTCCAGACATTTTTTGGCTTGTGGCCACATCACTGTAATCTCTACCTCTGTGGTCACACTGCTTTTTCCCCTTCTCTGTATCTTCTCTGTGTGTCTCTTATAAGGACAGTTGTCACTGTCTGTATTCAAGCTTCACTTGGCTAATCTAGGATAATCTCCTCATCTTGAGATTTTAAATCAATTATATCTGCAAAGATATAATTATATCTGCAAAGACCTTTTTCCAACTAAGGTCATATTCACAGGTTCCAGAGATTAGGTCATGGACATGTCCTTTGGGGGGCCACCATTCAGCCCACTACAGTTGGTTTTCTTTTTTTTTTTTTTTTGTCTGAGACAGAGTCTCGTTCTGTCACCCAGGCTAGAGTGCAGTGACGCCATCTTGGCTCACTGCAACCTCTGCCTACCGGGTTAAAGAAATTCTCCTGCCTTAGCCTCCTGAGTAGCTGGGATTACAGGCGTGCGCCATGCCCAGCTCATTTTTGTGTTCTTAGTAGAGACGGGGTTTCACCATTTTGGTCAGGCCGCTCTGGAACTCCTGACTTCAGATGATCTGCCTGTCTTGGCCTCCCAAAGTGTTGAGATTACAGGCATGAGCCACCACACACAGCCTACAATTGGTTTTCAATTCCTAAAGCCCACATCTCAGTGGAAACGTGAACCACGTAGGTTATTTTATTTTATTTTATTTTATTTTATTATTTATTTTAGATAGAGTCTTGCTCTGTCACCCAGGCTGGAGTGCAGTGGCATGATCTTGGCTCACTGCAACCTCTGCCTCCCAGGTTCAAGTGATTCCCCTGCCTCAGACTCCCAAGTAGCTGGGATTACAGGCACTCGCAACCACACCCGGCTAATTTTTGTATTTTTAGTAGAAATGGGGTTTCACCATCTTGACCAGGCTGATCTTGAAGTCCTGACCTCGTGATCCACCCTCCTCGGCCTCCCAAAGTGCTGGGATTACAGATGTGAGCCACCATGCCCACATTAAGTCATTTTAAACGTTCTAGTAGCCACATTGTTACAGTAGGAAGTTGAATCAGGCATGAGTGGGGCAGGAGAGGGCTCCCCTCACCCACCAGGAATGTCAGGCAACCATCAGGTGATGGTTTGGCAGTTGTCACACTGCCTCTCTAAAAATGATATTTGGCAGCTGGTGCTAGGGAGAGGCAATTTCCTGATGGCCCACAGTTGTCACACTAAATAATTGGTCACAGGCACCAAGGAGAGGCAATTTCTCAATAGATAAAAACACTTGAAATTCGTCATCAGCAGCTTCCAATAATTTATCCGGAATTGGGCGCGTGAGTTTAGGCATGCACATTAAGAGACAAAATGGTGGAGTATGACTTCGTGGGCATTCCACCAGAAAAGGAAAGAATGCCTCAGGTGAGCATGCATACAACTTCTAAAACACACTGTGCATGCTCACCTCCAAAGCGCAGAGAGGGCACCGTGCATGCGGGCAGCTCGCCGTATGGGAAGGATGAAGGGAAATGGGAACAAGACACTGGAAGTAGGCCAGCATATACAACCCTAAGTCAAAAGATCCAACATCACACTTGACCTTCACGGTGCCCATCTGGGTGTCTTCCAAGTGTGCTTTCCTTCCTTTGCTGCTGTAAAGCTTTTTAGTAAACTTCCACTCCTGCTCTGAAACTTGCCTCGGTCTCTTTTTCTGCCTTATGCCCCTCAGTCAAAACCTTTTTTCTGAGGAAGCAAGAATTAAGGTAGCTGCAGACCGATACGTATTTGCCACTGGTAACCCACATATTTGCCGCCCCTAATAACATTACAAAAGGAAAAAGAAACAGATAGAATTAATTTTAATGTAATTGATAGATAAGTAGGTTTTTTTTTGTTTTTTTTTGAGACTAGGTCTCTGTCCCCCAGGCTGGAGTGCAGTGGCATGATACAGCTCACTGCAGCCTCAACCTCCAAGGCTCAGGTGATCTTCTCACCTCAGCCTCTCAGGTAGCTGGGACTACAGGTGTACACCACCATCTCCAGCTAATTTTTTTGTATTTTTTTAAGAGACAGGGTTTCACCACGTTGCCCAGGCTGGTCTCACACTTCTGGCCTCAAGCGATCTTCCCATTTCAGCCTCCTAAAGTGCTGGGATTACAAGCTTGAGCCACTACGCCTGGCCTAATGTATATTTTAATGAAACATCCAGAATATTACCATTTCAACATTTAACCAACATACGATTATTAATAAGAGAGTTTACCTTTTATATTGTTTTTAGCACTAAGTCTTTGCAATCTTGTATATTACACCTACAACACAAATCAATTCAGACTGTCCCTGTTCCAAGGGCCACACATGGCTAGTGGCTACCACGGTGGACAGAGCAAATCTAGATAATGCACAGAGTAATTTATTGCAAAGTATGTTTATATGGATGGGATAATTTATTATAGAGGATAGAATGTAAGTATTACAAACACTGACAAAGTAAAAGTAAGGATATAGTCACAGAGGTTGGGAAATGTGGGGAGATAACAGGATGAACACATTTTACATAGTAGGAAGTGAATCAACAGAAATTTAAGTATAGAATTTAGAATTATAGTGTAACCATTTGTTTCAGTCTATTGCCGTGTAACAACCTACTCCAACATTTAGCGGCTTAAAGCAACAACTATTTTATTTGCTTGTGGTTCTGTGGGCCAGGAAGGCAAGTCACACTTGGTTGGCGGGTGCTATTTCTCATGGTAGTGGCTGAAGCACTGGGATAGCTGGAGACTCCAGAATGGCCCACTTGCATGACTGGCAGTGGGTGCTATCAGCCAGCTTAAGCTCAGCTGGGATTGCTGGCCAGGGACCTCTGTTCTCCTGTGAGCCTCTCTCCAGGCTGCTCAGGCTTCCTCAGGGAAGGGGTTCTAAGAAGGAACCTCTCAAGAACTGAAGATAGATGTTGCAGATGTCTTAAAACCCAGCCTTGGGGCCAGGCGCGGTGGCTCACGCCTGGAATCCCAGCACTTTGGGAGGCCTAGGCGGGCGGATCACCTAAGGTCAGGAGTTTGAGACCAACCTGGCCAACATGGCAAAACCCTGTCTCTACTAAAAATACAAAAACTAGCCTGACGTGGTGGCACGTGCCTGTAATCCCAGCTACTCAGGAGGCTGAGGCAGGAGAATTGCTTGAACCCAGGAAGCAGAGGTTGCAGTGAACCAAAATCGTGCCATTGCACTCCAACCTGGGCGACAGAGTGAGACTCCATCTTAAAAACAAAACAAAACCAAAAAGAACCCCAGCCTTGGAAGGTACACATTTTCACTTTTCGTGCATTTTATTGATAGAAATAGGTCACAGGGCCAGCCAAAATTCAAGGGAAGGGAAACTAGACTCCGCCTCTTAATGGAGGGAAAGCAAATTAATACTGCAAAAGAGCACGTAGGATGGGACATCTCGTTGCGTCCAACATTGAGAACACAATCTACCCTACCACTAGAAGAAAACAGACAGATAACAGACACTTGGGGAGAAGACAGGTGGGAAGGGAGCTGAGAGAGCTAGCTTGAAAATTATTTACTCTGGATACAGTCAGATGTTGATAAATCAATAAATATGAGACTGTAAAAAGTAAAGTAGAGGTTCCTCTTCAAAGACTTTCCTCCCTGTCTAATTAGGAATAGATAGTAACTTTTCTTAGAAGCAAAATTTATTCAAAGACCTATGCTAACATTCTTAAATATCTGCCAGCCATAATAAAGAAATCAATGTACTTTATGCTCTTAGCTCCCACAATTTAGCCTAAATATATGCCCTGGCATGCTTATACTGGTCCAAGCATGGCCTGTTCCTCTTCCTTATTTGAAGGTGTTTTTACCTTTTTCAGCATTCCATAAGTTACTTCCTCCTTCCTTTGTTCTCCTCTGCCTTTGCCTCTTTTAAAAAGTTCTAAGTTGCAGACGGGTGAGGTGGCTCACGCCTGAAATCCCAGTACTTTGGGAGGCCGAGACAGGTGGATCACGAGGTCAGGAGATCGAGACCATCCTGGCCAACATAGTGAAACCCCGTCTCTACTAAAAATTCAAAAAAATTAGCCAGGCGTGGTGGCGGGCGCCTGAAGTCCCAGCTACTCGGGAGGCTGAGGCAGAAGAATGGCATGAACCCTGGAGGCAGAGCTTGTAGTGAGCCGAGATCGCGCCACTGCACTCCAGCCTGGGTGACAGCGAGACTCCGTCTCAAAAAAAAAAAAAAAAGTTCTAAGTTGCTAGCCAATCGGGACAAATACAGAATGTCAGGTCCTGCTCAAGCCAGTGGAAACCAGACACAGCAGTAGGGAAGACACGTCAGGTTATAAATGACCCTGTCTCCTTTGTTTGGTGTGCTCTCATGGCAAAACTGCTGATGAGTGTACCCTTTCTGCAGAAAGTATAAAAATGGCCTTGCTGAGGAATTAAATTAATGTTCAAGTGCTATTTCTTCATGGCACCGGGGAACAAACATTTCAAACAAGACAGAAACAGTGATTTAGTGTAATACTGACAACAGAAAAGACACAAAACAGAGTGGTAAAATCACTACCTCTGGGTGGTAGGAATGGGGTTGGGAAGATGAAGCAGGAGACGTTGATGTTGCATGTTCTACTTTGTTAAACCGAGGGAATTAGTATTAAGAAATGGTGTTCATGGGCTGAGCGCAGTGGCTCACACCTGTAATTCGAGCACTTTCGGAGGCCAAGGCAGGAGGATCACCTGAGGTCAGGAGTTTGGGACCAGCCTGGCCGATACAGTGAAACCCTGTCTCTACTAAAAATTCAAAAATTAACCGGGTGTGATGGCATACACCTGTAATCCCAGCTACTCAGGAGGCTGAGGCACGAGAATTGCTTGAACCCAGGAGGTGGAGGTTGCAGTGAGCCAAGACTGCACCATTGTACTCCGGCCTGGGTGACAGAGTGAGACTCTGTCTAAAAAAAAAAAAAAAGGAATGAGATTCATGGATTATTTTTATGACGTAAATAAACATATATTATGAAGCTAGATAAAAATAAACCTATGAGACAAGGAGGGTACATAAGAGAGAAAGAAAGAATTTGTGGACTCTAGCAACATATAAAAAGGACTATACACCATGACCAAGCAAGATTTACTCCAGGATATGCCAAGTTGGTTTAACACTGAAAATCAATCAATGTAATACACCATGTTAATAGAATAAAGGACAAAACCACACGATCATCTCAATAGATGCAGAGAAAGCATTTGACAAATTCCAACAACTTTCGTGATACTCAACAAGAAGGAGTAGAAGAGAACTCCCTCAACCTAATAAAGGACATCTACAGAAATCCCACAGCTAACATTAGACTTAATGATGAAAGACTGAATGCTCTCCCAGTAAGATCAGGAAAAAGACAAGGATGTCCGTTCTCACCCCATCTATTTAACATTGTACTGGAGCTTCCAGCCAAAGCAACTGGGCAGGAAAAATAATTTAAAGGCATACAGATTGAAAAGGAAGAAGTATAACTCTGTGTTCACCGATGACTTGATCTTGTACATAGAAAATCCTAAGAAATCACATACACACATGTACTGGCGCAACTATGAGAGCTATAAACAAGCTCAACAAGGTTGAAGGATACAAGACCAATATATAAAAATCAACTGTATTTTATACACTAGAAATAATCCAAAAAATGAAATTAAAAAAACAATTCTATTTATAGTTACATGAAAGAGAATAAAATATTTATAAGTAAATTTAACAAAAGAAGGAATGACATACACATCTAAAACTACAATCATTGAAATAAATAAAAGGAAGATGCCGCCTGTTTTTGGATTGGGAGACTTGGTAAAATGGCGATACTATTCAAATTAATGTACAAGTTCAACACAATGTTGTTGTTTTTGAGACAGAGTCCCGCTCTGTCTCCCAGGCTGGAGTGCAGTGGCACAATCTCGGTTCACTGCAACCTCCATCTCCTGGGTTCAAGCAATTCTCCTGCCTCAGCCTCCCAAGTAGCTGAGATTATAGGCATATGCCACCATGCCTGGCTAATTTTTGTATTTTTAGTAGAGATGGAGTTTCGCCATGTTGGCCAGGCTGGTCTTGAACTCCTGGCCTCAGGTGATCGCCCGCCTCAGCCTACTAAAGTGCTGGGATCACAGGCGTGAGACACCATGCCCAGCCTCAACACCATCCCTGTCAAAATTCTAGCTGCCTGTTTTGCAGAAATTGAAAAGCTGATCCTAAAATGCATATGGAAATGCATGGGACCCGGAATAGGCAAAACAATCTTGAGAAGAACAAAGTTAGAGGATTCACAGTTTCTGATTCAAGACTAAGTGGTACTGGGACAAGGACAGACACATAAACCAAGAGAACAAAACTGAGAGTCTAGAACTAAACCCACATATTTATGGGCAATTGACTTTTGACAAGGTGGCAAGCCCATTCGATGAGGAAAAGACATAGCTTTTCAACAAATGGTGCTGAGACAACTGGATATCCACATCCAAAAAAAAAAAAAAAAAAGTTTAATCCCCTACATCACACCATATACAAAAATTAAGTCAAAAAGGATCAAAGCCTACATGTAAGATCTAAAATTATAAAACTCATAGAGAAAACATAGAAGTAAATTATTGTGAACTTGGGTTAGGCAAGGATTTCTTAAATATGACACAAAACACAAGTAACAAAAGAAAAAACAGATAAGCTGGACTTTATCAAAACTAAAAACTTTTGTACTTCAAAGGACACTACCAAAAAAAGTGAAAAGACAACCCACAGAATGGGAGAAAATACTTGCAAATCGCATGTCTAATAAAGGTCTGATATGAGAATACATAAAGAACTCTTATAATTTAAGAAAAAAGAGATAACCGAATTTTAAAATGGGCAAAGGATTTAAATAGATATGTCTCCAAAAAGGTATACAAGTGGCCAATAAGCACACAAAAAGATATTCAACATTATCAATCACTGGAGAAATGCATGTCAAAATTACAATGAGACGGCACTTCATATCCACTAGTATGGCTAAAACCAAAAACACAGACAATGAAAAGCGTGAGTGGGGACGTGGAGAAATTGGAACTCTCATATATTGTTGGTGGGAATATAAAATGGCAAAACCATGTTGTAAAACAGTGTGACGGTTCCTCAAAAGATTAAGCATAAAATTACCATATGACCTAGCAACTCCACTCCTATGCGTATGGCCAGGAGAAATAAAAACATGTATCTGCACAAAAGCTTGTATACAAGTGTTCATTACAGCACTATTCATAATAGCCAAAAGGTGGAAACAACCCAAATGTCCGTCAACAGTAACAAAAGATAAAACAGACAAGTTTGACAAGTTGAACTTTACCAAAACTAAAAGCTTTTGTACTTCAAAGGATACTACCAAAAAAACTGAAAAGACAACCCACCTAATAGGAGAAGACATTTGGAAATCACATGTCTGTAATAAACAAAGTGGTATATCCATACAATGGAATACTATTCAGCAATAAAAAGGAATAAAGTGCTAATGAATGCTACAACATGGGTGAGCCTTGAAAACATTACACTAAGTGAAAGAACCCAGTCACAAACGCCACATATCCTTTGATTTCACTTACATGACGTGTCCGGAATAAGAAATAGGTACAGTCAGAAAGTAGATTTGTGGTTTCCAGAGGCTGGGTGGAAGGGAAAGGGGGAGCAACTGCTCATGGGAACAGAGTTTCTTTTTAGGGTGATGGAAAGTTTCTCGAATCAGATAGTAGTGATTGTTGCACAACTCTGTGAGTATCCTAAAAGCTATTGAATTGTATACTTTAACATGATGAATGTTATGGTATGTGAAAAAGGAAGGAAGAGGTGAGAGAAAGAAAGAGTACAAATGCATATAAAACTTGGAGGAAGAAGAGAAAGAAATTAAGGAATTACTAAACCTTTTTTTTTTTTTCTTTTTGAGACAGAGTCTTGCTCTGTTGTCCAGGCTGGAGTACAGAGGCGTGATCTCGACTCACTGCAACCTCCGTGTTACAGGCTCAGGGATTCTCCTGCCTCAGCCTCCCAAGTAGCTGGGACTACAGGCATACATCACCACGCCCAGCTAATTTTTTTTTTCTTTTGTAGTTTTAGTAGAGATGGGGTTTCACCGTGTTAGCCAGGCTGGTCTTGAACTCCTGACCTCAAGTGATCTGCCCACCTTGGCCTCCCAAAGTGCTGGGATTACAGGCGTGAGCCACCGCACCTGGCCAAAACCTTTATTTTCTCAATGAAGCAGACATTCACTCCACAGACCTTATGTACTATATGCAGAACACTCAATAAATGCCTCTTGGCCCAGCTGAGGCTCAGTAGCTGATCATTCACTAAGAAGGCAGAGGGCTCTGCTGATGCAAAAGGGATACCGGGTTCAGGATTTCAACTGGGGGAAGTTTCCATTGAGCCTTCTAAGTGCAGGGAGCCTCCTGACCTCAAGTGATCCGCAGATCTCGGCGCCCCCATAGAGTGTTGAAGCATCCCGGGCCACCATCTGTGGCCCAAAAGGTTTTTTAAGGGGCAAGAATCCTTTTCTTGGCTTCTGCAGTCAGTCTCCTTGCCAGTGACAACATCAGGGCAGCAGTGGAAAAAGACACGCTTTCAGTTGCTGGATAAAGTGTCTTCACCGTCTTGGCAAGTAAGTGCTTTTGTTATTTTCCCACTAAGTGATTCATTCTCCTGGAGGCAACTCCTTGGGCACTTCCTGGACACCCACTCACCTGGAAACACTGAGGTCGCTCCTGTCCAAAAGGAGTGCTTCCTGTGGCTGCCTGCAGAAAAAACAGGCTCAGTGTAGGCAGAAATGGCGGCTTTCAGAAATACCGCATGATCTCACTCACATGAGGAATTTAAACCAGCGGAACACAGAGACAGGAGAGGAGTGGAAT